>NC_000010.11:7131212-7282727 GCF_000001405.40 Homo sapiens
CCTCGCCAGCATCTGTTATTTCTTGACTTTTTAATATTAGCCATTCTGACTGGTTTGAAGATTTCTTTTAGACAAGGGTTTCTCTGTGTGCTGTTTGTCCCTAGTTAACCCAGCATGTCCATGCAAAGAACTGTAGTGTCCCTGAGTAACTCTCATCCTCTTCTGTTTCTTCTTAACCAGCCTTCAATGTCAAAACTGATCCCAGCTCTTTCTCTAAGTCTGTTCCCCACATGTTGGCATTTAATGGTGATATTCTTTCCATTACACCCTAAGACCTCTCTAGAATTGAAGGACCATTTATCCTGTGCTTACAGTTGTAGCTAAAGGACGTTCTATGTAAGGACATTCTATGACATTCACTCTGATCACCACCTCCACTCGCCTATGAAATAAAGACCCCCTTAGGCCCCTTTCCTGGGATTCCATGGCCCAGCAGGATGGCATCACAGAGAGTTTTATTATGTTTTCCTGTGAAAATATCATTTGTGCAGAGTTTATTTATAGCTAACCTCCCTTTCAAAGTGTGAGGATCTACGTATTATAAGAACCACTTTATAAGTCAAGAAGCAAAAACAGAATCACAGCTTTTCAGCGAATTATCTAATAATTGGAAAGACTTTGAAAACTTCTGTCCCATTTTCAAAAGGTCAGAGTGTAATTTTTTTTAAATGAATTGTTCCAATAAAGTAGCAGCTGTGTAGAATGAATACCTTTTTCTATGCCCACTAAACTGTGATTCATATAAAAGCAAAGGTCTCTTGAACTAATGAATAGCTGTTAAAGTTAAAGATCTGTGCAGAGAATAATGTGTAGGTGCAGTTCAGAGAGTCCTGGAATTATAGCCACACTATAATTGAACTCAGGGGTTACAAAAAGAGCTTTGAAGACCAATGATCTCTGTTTACTCATAGAACAATAAAAGTTAGTAAAAACCTATTTCCAATCATTCACTCTTCCCTCTGAACTAAAATTCCTTCCAGCACAGCACAGGACCTGTGGTGTGGGGAGCCTTCAGCCCAGATGCAAACTCCTCAAGCAACGAGCCCAGGTTTGTCAGGGGGGTTTTATGTTTTAGGGCTGAAGACCAGATTAGATAGTCAGAAATCCCAATCCTTCCTCCACCCCATTAATTCACTGTATAATAAAATACAGTTCCCTTTTTATCCATTTGCTCATCCATAAAATGTAGGCATGCGTCAGCCTCACTTTTCACCGCTCATTTCTTTTGATATTGACCAATAAACCTCTATGCGTCTTACTGCCCGTGCCCACTCATTCAACGATTTCCAATCTGTGATCACAATGTGTTCAAACTCATAAAAGACATAGCAAAAATGCAGTGTACTTTATCCACTCTTTAACCAATTGCCAAGAACACAGAACCCTGAGAAAGGGAAACCATTTGTATAATCAACAGTATTTTGCTTACAGTGGTCTTGAAAATATTTCAGAAAAAATCAAAATAAGAAGTGATTCTAGTGCCTTAGAGACTGCATCTCCTGAAAGCTCGCTACCAAAGATTTTGCTCAGGGTCAATATTTATTCAGCGAGCTCATTCAATAACCATTCTCCTTCCTTTACATCATTATCTAATAAGTTATATGTAAGTAAATTTAGGGTAAAAACTCACTTCCTGAAGCTTAGATTTAAACGTCTCTAACTCATTCTTTATTAACTACCTACACTTTAATAAAATAATTCTTAGAGGGTAAAGCTGAAATGCTCTGTTGTAGTGTTAAGGACACTATTAAGAAGAGACATAGTGTCTCATATTGCAGAATTTTGGAACTGGAAAGAGATCATCTAGTTTAAACTCCTCTTTCCACAGTGAGAGAACTAAAGAGTGGAGAGGTGATTAAGACGATCTCAGGGTCAGCCAGTAGTGACAGTACCAAGATGGGGACCCCGTTTCACTGAGCCTGTGACCTGTTCCTTTCACCACAGCCCTTTCTGATAGGCTATAAATGTATTCTTAAGTGATCTAAAATCATTTCCCTGGAGTTTTTCTATACCCAAGTGAATTCATTAAAAAAAAAAGATGATACAAGGCAATAGAAAACCTATTGTGTCCAACTCCTACACACACTACCCCCTCCCACACACATCATAGAAAGCAAATTTCATCCTCTCCTGTTTATAATTGGGAGTTCATTCTTCTAGTTCCCAATCTCACAGAACAATTTCTGGCTCCCGGCAAGTTTGACGTAAATCCTGGAGCGTGTAATTGACACAGTGCGCTACAAGGATCAGAGAACTCAGTGGGATAATGGACAACGCGCCCACTAAGGGCAATGTGACTCATACATTTAATCTACCAAGGAGGCTTGCCGCGTAGCACAGTTCCGTCCTGTTAAATGATTTTCTTCTCCTCCTTCAAAGCCCCACTCAGTGACGGTGCTTCCTAGGCAGCAGTTTTCCAACCACGTTATGATTTCACACTGATCCATTTCATGTCATAGCAACATAACGGGTGGGTGGGGGGGGGGGGTCCTTCTGAGTCACACCCAATTCCTCCTTATTTTGTCTTCTAGGAAGGTAGAAAATTTCAGGTCAGCATCTATCCAGCCATGACTCATATGCTTTTAAATGACCTGCGAGTTTTTTGACAGGTGTTTTTCTATAATACTGAAAATGGATAGCACACATGCAGAATGGGAAGTCTGTTTGTCAGTGCTATGGTCTAAATGTTTGTGCTCCAACACCTCAAATTCATGTGTTGAACCCTAACTTCAAAGGGCTAGGATTAGGATGTATGGTAGTAGGGACCTTTGGGGGGTGACTAGGTCTTGGGGACAGAGGCCTCTTGAATGGATCAGAGCCTTTATAAATGAGGTCCAGAAAGCTCTCTTGCCTCTCCTGTCACGTGAGGACCCAGCGAAGGAACATCTCTATGAACCAGGAAGCCGACCCTCACAGACACAGAATCTGCTGGTGCCTTGACCTTGGACTTCCCACCCTCCAGAACCGTGAGAAATCAATGTCTGTTAATTATAAGCCACGCATTTATGGTATTTTGTTCTAGTAGCTCCAATGGACTAAGACAGCTGGTAAATATTTGTTGAACTCCTGCTACATGCTAGATTGTGCTGCTACAGAAATCAGAAGACATTTTCCATGGTCTCTAGAATTCACTCTCCACGGGAGGAAAGCTGAATCGAGTTTCTGCATAATAAGGATGACAATGAGGAATAAAGGAAGCAGAGAAGGAGTGTGTCTAGCAGAGAAGAGAAGGTCAGAGAACACATCCTTTTTACTGGGGAAACTGATATTTGAGCTAGTTTCCAATAATCAAGTAGAGAGGGAAGACAACTTGTACAAAGTCATGGGGGAGGGCTTTGAACCTGCAGGAACCACATGTGTTCTGATATCTTGGAGGCTGAATGAGGAACAAGGAGTCCCAGGAAATGAGGCAAGCCAGGTAAAAAGAGGTGAACTCCCCACTTCCTCTGTAGTCTCTCTACCCACAGAGCTCTTTGCCCCCATAGGCCAGGGATCACCCAGAATGTTTAGTTTGGTTGCTAAAAGTAGATTTCAGAATTTCTAGTCATCTTTGAAATTCAGCTCCCAGGCACTTACATTTTACACCTCTCCTTAGGACTGTGGGAAATTCGTGTCTGGTTTTCTGAATATTGCCCTCAGGCTGAAAGCCTCTAAATTCTTGAAGTACAATCAACTGAGCACAGAAGGGGACACAAGAGGCATAATTGTCCCATTAAATGAAAAACTCTGGGCATTATCCAGCTCCTCTTAATAACAAGTGACTTCTCAATTGTCACTTGGAAAATGAAGGAACAGGAAGGAAGAGGAAAAGGAGAGAAGCTTTATTTATTATTTTTGTTTAATTTTTATTTTAAGTTCAGGGGCACATATGCAGGTTTGTTATACAGGTAAACTTGTGTCACAGGGGTTGGTTGTACAGATTATTTTATCACCCAGGTATTAAGCTTAGTACCCATTAGTTATTTTTCCTGATCATCTCCCTCCTCCCTCCCTCCACCCTCTGATAGGCCTCAGTGTGTGTTGTTCTCCTCTGTGTGTCCATGTATTCTCATCATTTAGCTCCCACTTATAAGTGAGAACATGCAGTATTTGGTTTTCTGTTCTTGCATTAGGTCACTTAGGATAATGACCTCCAGCTCCATCCATGTCACTGCAAATGACATGATCTCATTCTTTTTTATGGCTGCATAGTATTCCATGGTATTTTTGCATTTTATGGCTGCATAGTATTCCATAGTATTCAAAATATGTACCACATTTTGAAAAGATTTATTTTAAAAAATATCTTTATTTCTTAAAACAGCTAGCCAGCCAGCATTATTTGGGGGCTTGTTTATGTGTTTTGTTTTAGCATCTTTGCATTTCCCTAAAAATATAGCGTATTTAAAGGTAAATGGGTGTTGGGGGGATAGGTCACAGAATTAAAAGTATGTGAATATTTTTCTGAGAATACTGGAATTTTAAAATCCTTGACAAGGGACTGCCTAAAAGGAATAGTTTTAAAATCCTGATATCTTTTCAGAACCAGGTAAGTCTTGTAACACCTTCTGGATGGAATATTTCAGTTGGGCTCAAAGGGTTCAGGTCTTCTTATATGGTAAATGTTGGGCATAGAAAGAATTGATGGAATTGTCCATAGTAAGAATGATGAATTCTGCAGGTTGGTGTCTTTATAGGACATGAGACACAGAATAACACCAACATCCACCTGCAAGTCTCTTCTTTGCTATGCAATCATGCTTATCTCTCTCTCTCTCTCTTTCTCTCTCTCTCTCTCTCTCTCTCTCCGTCTCTCTCCCTGTCTGTCTCCGTCTCTCCACCTCTTTCCGGTGGGTACTGCTTCGTGCCTAACTCTGGCTCAAATTTTAAAGGCAGTAATTAAGCCCTAGAAACTTCTGGTGCCAAAGCTGTTCTGCAGCATTGTTAGTGTACTGTAAATCACCATCCTCTCCCCTTGGGGCTCCTTCCCAGAAGCTGTCACAGGCAACTCCATGTTTATGGGAGAGTCTCTCGACACTTTATACTCATTGAGATAAAATTAAGTCAAAGAGCATTCAGTTAAAATGGCAGAGTAATGAAGTGAGCTCTATTCTGTCCCTCCATTTAAATTGCATCAAAGACTTTGGACTTGGGGGAGAAGGATGTTGGAGCCATTTTCTTCCTGAGCGGCTCTGCTGTACTGTAGGTACTGTGTGGCTAATTAGGTCATGGAAGACTGGAGACTTTGCCATCTCTTCGGAGTGGACTCAAAAAATACACAGGTTTTTCAGGGCTCTCATATCAGGCCAAAAAGTGTACAAGAATCCATCGAGCACCAGTGGAAAAATACACAGCTCTGAAACCTGATCAGAGATACAGAGAGAAGAGAGCAGATGCAGAATAACACAGAGCCCTGATACCTGATCAGAGACGCGGAGAGGAGAGAGCAGATGTGGAACGACACACAGCCCTGACACCTGATCAGAAACGCGGAGAGGAGAGAGCAGATGTGGTATAATACACAGCCCTGATACCTGATCAGAGATGCAGAGAGGAGAGAGCAGATGTGGAACGACACACAGCCCTGATACCTGATCAGAGACGTGGAGAGGAGAGAGCAGATGTGGAATAAGACACAGCTCTGATACCTGATCAGAGATATGGAGAGAAGAAGGCAGATGTGGAATAAGACACAGCTCTGATACCTGATCAGAGATATGGAGAGAAGAAGGCAGATGTGGAATAAGACACAGCTCTGATACCTGAGCAGAGATGCAGAGAGAAGAGAGTAAATGTGGTTTTTGGTTTCTGGGAATTTACAGATTAGTGGGGAAACTACTTCAACAGCCAAGGGCACAGTAAACAAAAGGGATGCGATAGGGAATGACGCCGGATGCTTGGCTATAACTGGTATTAATAGAGAAACTTTGAAACTGTGAAATTTTGATAGCTAAGAGAGATTATAGAAATGGTCTAGTCCACAGGTCTCACGCTTGTCATGGTGGTTTCTACTAGGAGTTTCCAAATACATACCAGTGCTAAGGTTGCTGGGAGATGTTAATACAGCTTCATATTACACTGAAACTATTTTTTAATCTATCAGTTTCCATCTCCAGCCCTGCTGCCATCCCTATTCATCTGTACAGATCCCTATGTGAGATTTCATCAATGCACTTTCCCAGGCGCATTGCATTTGTGCATGCATACATCACCCTCCATTAAAATGATCACTGAATCACAAAAATTCTTTATGGCGTCTTGATGGCCGAATAGGAACAGCTCCGGTCTACAGCTCCGGTCTACAGCTCCCAGCGTGAGCGACGCAGAAGACGGGTGATTTCTGCATTTCCAGCTGAGCTTTGAAGAGAGCAGTGGTTCTCCCAGCACGCAGCTGGAGATCTGAGAACGGGCAGACTGCCTCCTCAAGTGGGTCCCTGACCCCTGACCCCCGAGCAGCCTAACTGGGAGGCACCCCCCAGCAGGGGCACACTGACACCTCACACAGCAGGGTATTCCAACAGACCTGCAGCTGAGGGTCCTGTCTGTTAGAAGGAAAACTAACAAACAGAAAGGACATCCACACCAAAAACCCATCTGTACATCACCATCATCAAAGACCAAAAGTAGATAAAACCACAAAGATGAGGAAAAAACAGAAAAGAAAAACTGGAAACTCTAAAAAGCAGAGTGCCTCTCCTCCTCCAAAGGAACGCAGTTCCTCACCAGCAACGGGACAAAGCTGGATGAAGAATGACTTTGATGAGCTGAGAGAAGAAGGCGTCAGACGATCAAATTACTCTGAGCTACGGGAGGACATTCAAACCAAAGGCAAAGAAGTTGAAAACTTTGAAAAAAATTTAGAAGAATGTATAACTAGAATAACTAATACAGAGAAGTGCTTAAAGGAGCTGATGGAGCTGAAAACCAAGGCTCGAGAACTACGTGAAGAATGCAGAAGCCTCAGGAGCCGATGCGATCAACTGGAAGAAAGGGTATCAGCAATGGAAGATGAAATGAATGAAATGAAGTGAGAAGGGAAGTTTAGAGAAAAAGGAATAAAAAGAAATGAGCAAAGCCTCCAAGAAATATGGGACTGTGTGAAAAGACCAAATCTACGTCTGATTGGTGTACCTGAAAGTGATGGGGAGGATGGAACCAAGTTGGAAAACACTCTGCAGGATATTATCCAGGAGAACTTCCCCAATCTAGCAAGGCAGGCCAACGTTCAGATTCAGGAAATACAGAGAACGCCACAAAGATACTCCTCGAGAAGAGCAACTCCAAGACACATAATTGTCAGATTCACCAAAGTTGAAATGAAGGAAAAAATGTTAAGGGCAGCCAGAGAGAAAGGTCGGGTTACTCTCAAAGGGAAGCCCATCAGACTAACAGCGGATCTCTCGGCAGAAACCCTACAAGCCAGAAGAGAGTGGGGGCCAATATTCAACATTCTTAAAGAAAAGAATTTTCAACCCAGAATTTCATATCCAGCCAAACTAAGCTTCATAAGTGAAGGAGAAATAAAATACTTTACAGACAAGCAAATGCTGAGAGATTTTGTCACCACCAGGCCTGCCTTACAAGAGCTCCTGAAGGAAGCACTAAACATGGAAAGGAACAACCGGTACCAGCCGCTGCAAAATCATGCCAAAATGTAAAGACCATCAAGACTAGGAAGAAACTGCATCAACTAACGAGCAAAATCACCAGCTAACATCATAATGACTGGATCAAATTCACACATAACAATATTAACTTTAAATGTAAATGGACTTAATACTCCAATTAAAAGACACAGACTGGCAAATTGGATAAAGAGTCAAGACCCATCAGTGTGCTGTATTCAGGAAACCCATCTCACGTGCAGAGACACACATAGGCTCAAAATAAAAGGATGGAGGAAGATCTACCAAGCCAATGGGAAACAAAAAAAGGCAGGGGTTGCAATCCTAGTCTCTGATAAAAGACTTTAAACCAACAAAGATCAAAAGAGACAAAGAAGGCCATTACATAATGGTAAAGGGATCAATTCAACAAGAAGAGCTAACTATCCTAAATATATATGCACCCAATACAAGAGCACCCAGATTCATAAAGCAAGTCATGAATGACCTACAAAGAGACTTAGACTCCCACACATTAATAATGGGAGACTTTAACACCCCACTGTCAACATTAAACAGATCAACGAGACAGAAAGTCAACAAGGATACCCAGGAATTGAACTCAGCTCTGCACCAAGCAGACCTAATAGACATCTACAGAACTCTCCACCCCAAATCAACAGAATATACATTTTTTTCAGCACCACACCACACCTATTCCAAAATTGACCACATACTGGGAAGTAAAGCTCTCCTCAGCAAATGTAAAAGAACAGAAATTATAACAAACTATCTCTCAGACCACAGTGCAATCAAACTAGAACTCAGGATTAAGAATCTCACTCAAAACCGCTCAACTACATGGAAACTGAACAACCTGCTCCTGAATGACTACTGGGTACATAACGAAATGAAGACAGCAATAAAGATGTTCTTTGAAACCAACGAGAACAAAGACACAACATACCAGAATCTCTGGGACACATTCAAAGCAGTGTGTAGAGGGAAATTTATAGCACGAAATGCCCACAAGAGAAAGCAGGAAACATCCAAAATTGACACCCTAACATCACAATTAAAAGAACTAGAAAAGCAAGAGCAAACACATTCAAAAGCTAGCAGAAGGCAAGAAATAACTAAAATCAGAGCAGAACTGAAGGAAATAGAGACACAAAAAACCCTTCAAAAAATTAATGAATCCAGGAGCTGGTTTTTTGAAAGGATCAACAAAATTGATAGACCGCTAGCAAGACTAACAAAGAAAAAAAGAGAGATGAATCAAATAGATGCAATAAAAAATGATAAAGGGGATATCACCACCGATCCCACAGAAATACAAACTACCATCAGAGAATACTACAAACACCTCTACGCAAATAAACTAGAAAATCTAGAAGAAATGGATAAATTCCTGGACACATACGCTCTCCCAAGACTAAACCAGGAAGAAGTTGAATCTCTGAATAGACCAATAACAGGAGCTGAAATTGTGGCAATAATCAATAGCTTACCAACCAAAAAGAGTCCAGGACCAGATGGATTCACAGCCGAATTCTACCAGAGGTACAAGGAGGAACTGGTACCGTTCCTTCTGAAACTATTCCAATCAATAGAAAAAGAGGGAATCCTCCCTAACTCATTTTATGAGGCCAGCATCATTCTGATACCAAAGCCTGGCAGACACACAACCAAAAAAGAGAATTTTAGACCAATATCCTTGATGAACATTGATGCAAAAATCCTCAATAAAATACTGGCAAAACGAATCCAGCAGCACATCAAAAAGCTTATCCACCATGATCAAGTGGGCGTCATCCCTGGGATGCAAGGCTGGTTCAATATACGCAAATCAATAAATGTAATCCAGCATATAAACAGAGCCAAAGACAAAAACCACATGATTATCTCAATAGATGCAGAAAAAGCCTTTGACAAAATTCAACAACCCTTCATGCTAAAAACTCTCAATAAATTAGGTATTGATGGGACGTATTTCAAAATAATAAGAGCTATCTATGACAAACCCACAGCCAATATCATACGGAATGGGCAAAAACTGGAAGCATTCCCTTTGAAAACTGGCACAAGACAGGGATGCCCTCTCTCACCACTCCTATTCAACATAGTGTTGGAAGTTCTGGCCAGGGCAATTAGGCAGGAGAAGGAAATAAAGGGTATTCAGTTAGGAAAAGAGGAAGTCAAATTGTCCCTGTTTGCAGATGACATGATTGTATATCTAGAAAACCCCATTGTCTCAGCCCAAAATCTCCTTAAGCTGATAAGTAACTTCAGCAAAGTCTCAGGATACAAAATCAATGTACAAAAATCACAAGCATTCTTAGACACCAATGACAGACAAACAGAGAGCCAAATCATGAGTGAACTCCCATTCACTATTGCTTCAAAGAGAATAAAATACCTAGGAATCCAACTTACAAGGGATGTGAAGGACCTGTTCAAGGAGAACTACAAACCACTGCTCAAGGAAATAAAAGAGGATACAAACAAATGGAAGAACATTTCATGCTCATGGGTAGGAAGAATCAATATCATGAAAATGGCCATACTGCCCAAGGTAATTTACAGATTCAATGCCATCCCCATCAAGCTACCAATGACTTTCTTCACAGAATTGGAAAAAACTACTTTAAAGTTCATATGGAACCAAAAAAGAGCCCGCATCACCAAGTCAATCCTAAGCCAAAAGAACAAAGCTGGAGGCATCACACTACCTGACTTCAAACTATACTACAAGGCTACAGTAACCAAAACAGCATGGTACTGGTACCAAAACAGAGATATAGATCAATGGAACAGAACAGAGCCCTCAGAAATAACGCCGCATATCTACAACTATCTGATCTTTGACAAACCTGAGAAAAACAAGCAATGGGGAAAGGATTCCCTATTTAATAAATGGTGCTGGGAAAACTGGCTAGCCATATGTAGAAAGCTGAAACTGGATCCCTTCCTTACACCTTATACAAAAATCAATTCAAGATGGATTAAAGACTTAAACGTTAGACCTAAAACCATTAAAACCCTAGAAGAAAACCTAGGCATTACCATTCAGGACATAGGCATGGGCAAGGACTTCATGTCTAAAACACCAAAAGCAATGGCAACCAAAGACAAAATTGACAAATGGGATCTAATTAAACTAAAGAGCTTCTGCACAGCAAAAGAAACTACCATCAGAGTGAACAGGCAACCTACAAAATGGGAGAAAATTTTGGCAACCTATTCATCTGACAAAGGGCTAATATCCAGAATCTACAACGAACTCAAACAAATTTACAAGAAAAAAACAAACAACCCCATCAAAAAGTGGGCAAAGGACATGAACAGACACTTCTCAAAAGATGACATTTATGCAGCCAAAAAACACATGAAAAAATGCTCATCATCACTGGCCATCAGAGAAATGCAAATCAAAACCACAATGAGATATCATCTCACACCAGTTAGAATGGCAATCATTAAAAAGTCAGGAAACAACAGGTGCTGGAGAGGATGTGGAAAAATAGGAACACTTTTACACTGTTGGTGGGACTGTAAACTAGTTCAACCATTGTGGAAGTCAGTGTGGCGATTCCTCAGGGATCTAGAACTAGAAATACCATTTGACCCAGCCATCCCATTACTGGGTATATACCCAAAGGACTATAAATCATGCTGCTATAAAGAAACATGCACACGTATGTTTATTGCGGCATTATTCACAATAGCAAAGACTTGGAACCAACCCCAATGTCCAACAATGATAGACTGGATTAAGAAAATGTGGCACATATACACCATGGAATACTATGCAGCCATAAAAAATGATGAGTTCATGTCCTTTGTAGGGACATGGATGAAATTGGACATCATCATTCTCAGTAAACTATTGCAAGAACAAAAAACCAAACACCACATATTCTCACTCATAGGTGGGAATTGAACAATGAGATCACATGGACACAGGAAGGGGAATATCACACTCTGGGGACTGTGGTGGGGTGGGGGGAGGGGGGAGGGATAGCATCGGGAGATATACCTAATGCTAGATGACGAGTTAGTGGGTGCAGCACACCAGCATGGCACATGTATACATATGTAAGTAACCTGCACAATGTGCACATGTACCCTAAAACTTAAAGTATAATAAAGAAAAAAAAAGAAAAAAAAATGATCACTGAATCCCAACCATGAGCTTCCCTCTTGTTCACATTCACCTGTGCTCACCCTTCCTCCTTGCCTGCTCAGCATGCCCTATCTCTTGCATTCCAACCTTCAACCTGGTATCCACCTTCTCAAATCACCTTCTTGACCTAGCAGCCTCCCACACACCCCAGAGGGGCCATCATCAGCTCTCTTCATCCGGATCTATTGTTCTGCTTATTCATTGACTTTGCCACCTCAGTATGCAGTCTTTGAGAATCAGTACCTTCCATTTTTCATGAACTGTACAATCCGAGAGCATCAAACAATAGTAGCTGTTTACTGAATTACATTTTAAAAATAGTCCAGGATAAATGATTTCTGAATTACAATCTTTAGCATTTTTCAGAGGTGCACACTTTATTTTAATTTGCTCCTTCTATCCACATGTCTTAGTTTAATTCTCAACAGTCCACTAAACATTTATGCAAGACTCCCCTTCCAACAAATTGAGCATTCATTTTCATATACCTTGTATACATTAAAGGTAGTTTCCTGCTTTCATGCCTTTTAAGCATTATAAAGATCGAGTAGAAAGTGGACATCTATGGGATATCCTGACAGTAGACATCTATGGGATATCATAACAGGGTCTGCTCTAGTTCTGCCAAGTTCTAGAAAACTCCATCATTCTGACTCTCCATTAGTCTTTGGTAACTGGCTCTGCATCTATCAGAAGGCACATGGAGTCTCCCTGATTAAGTTTCTGGGGTCTGTTTGATGCGTGTGCCTCTTTTTTTTTTTTATTTTTGAGACAGGGTCTTGCTCTGTCGCCCAGGCTGGAGTGCATTGGCACAATCTTGGCTCACTGCACCCTCCACCTCCTGGGTTCAAGCAATCCTCTTGCCTCAGCCTCCCTCGTAGCTGAAACTACAGGCATATGCCACCATGCCCAACTATTTTTGGTATTTTTAGTAGAGGTGGGGTTTCACTATGTTGGCCAGTCTCGTCTTGAAGTCCTGACCTCAGGTGATCCACCTGCCTCGGCCTCCTGAAGTGCTGTGATTACGGGCGTGAGCCACCGCACCCCGCCTGATGCTCGTACCTTTATCACTCATACTCTTGTCTCTGTCTAGAACTCCTTTTAGAGGGAATGTTTGGGAATTATTGCTATCCTTAGCACATTTACCCTCCTCTGGCACTTGGTACTTGCCTGAGCATTCCAGGCTTGCTTGACTACAAGGACATGGCCACTTGGTTTGCCCTGGTTCCGTGAGTGTTCCCTCTGGTATAGTCTTTCAGTCTCAGCCTCTTGTTGGTCTCTACATTCCAGAAGTTTCCTTTGGGTTGACATCCCATCTCTGTAAACATCATTTGACTCATTTTCATTAGGAGATGTGTAGTTGAAGAGCATAAGTTTCCAATTTCATATGAGGAGAAACTGAGATTTACACAAAGCTTTATAGGAAATAGTAATAAAGCTAGAGTTGGCTATTGCAAGATGATAATAAATAAAGACTGTTTGCCCACACCAGATGTTACCTGGTAGATCTGGGACATGAGCAGTTCACCAAATATGGCAATTCTAACTTACTCACATGAAGGAAAGAAGGCAATCTTCAACACTCACAAGGTTCGGACATTTCCCTACAGAGCTTTTATCAAATTTCTCACATCCTGATTGATGTGAATTGTCCCTGGTTTGTGTCCTTTTAGTGTGGGGGAAAGTGATGAGCAGTGAAATCAACAAGGCAGCGACTTCAAAGACCAGAAGATGAGTGAGCTTCCTGAGTAATCAACAGTTGGCCAAGGATGTTGACCTCACAGTGAAGGTAGTTTTGAGAAAGAGAACACGACCAATGTTTAAAAGTCTCATTCCACCTGCTCTTTAGATGGCTGTAAACTCCTAAAAGGCAGATCTGTGTGCTCTGCTTATGACATACTCTCATAACCCTGAGCTCAGGGGCTTATAAGTAGAGAACATTCACCAAAGTATTGTTGAATAAAGAATGAATTAATATTATCATAGCTACCAGTACTGGATTTCCATATTATATCCCAGAGATAAACACAGTAAGATGCAATCTTATTAAGATAATATCAAGGTTGTAAAAATATTTCTGGCAGAGCTAAATTTTTCTATTTCTTTAGGGCCAAGATTACTATGTACAGTAATAGGATGAAAACAGATTAGGAAAATTCCCTGACATAAATAAGAGTTAGTAAAATGCAGAATGTTCAGTGAGGTGCACAGACATTTTAAAAGATTTATGTCATGGGTTGCCACCGTATTTTGATACTTCCCGATGGCATTTTATGTAAAAATTGAACTTTGAAAGAATTTTATAATTCATTTTAAAGTTAATTTTGTGCATTCATTATTAACCAAGGAAGTATACAACTGTGATAAAATAGCTTGCTAACAGTAGCTACCCAGGGACTACACAAACTGTGTTGTATTATGCAGTTGTTCTTTTGCATATTTCATTTACTCAGGGGGAAAATATTATAATTTGTAATTTCCATATTGCCAGATTGTTGTGCATTCTCCAATGATTACTGTCTCTATTTGTTTGGAATCTGTCAATTTCTGCACAATTTCATAAGACAATTTGACTTCCCAAACACTGGAAGAATCTCGGAGGGCTGCATTTCAATTGAAAATAGAAAAGATCACAGTTATTGCTCAAGAATACCAACTCAGCATCATCATTTGTTACAGCACCTTCCCAGTCTATTTCTCTTTTCTCCCCTGAAGCTTAACTATTTGATTTCATCTTGGTACGACAACATTTTCAAAAATGTAATCGTAAATATTATTTATTTTAATGCTGAAATAAGAAATGTGGGAGATGCAGTTATTATAAGTTTGCTGTATGCTGCAATTGCCTTACAAATGTACCTAGATTTATGTGGGGATTAAATGCAGTAACTCTCTCGCAAGACTCAAAACAATTTCCACAGCATTTAATATATGAATTGTATAAATAGTTTTCAAAAATTATTAAGTCAAAGAAATTCTATTTGGTCCTTGCCTGTACATTCTCCACACTTAACAACGTTCTCCTCAGCTCCCTTCCAGCCCAGCAACTAAAAGGTTCTAATACCGTTATACCGCTTTCACAGCGGCACATTTAATTTTGCTTTGCTTCATCAAGTTGTTCCTCAAATAGGTTTGCAATTAGAGTGGATGTCATGTCAATCAGGAAAATCTGTTTGTTTAATTCTATCAAGTCAGCGAGTATTTATTGAATGCCTACTTGGAGCTGAGTGCTGAAAATACTCTTTTCTGCAATATTCTGGGCTGCTGGCTCGCTGGATCCTTGAAGGATTTTTTTTTTTCAGGCTCCTTCTTCAAAGTCCTAGTTCTTTAAACCAGAGAGCAAAAATTAACAGAGTAGCTAAGGGAACTTTTTTCAGCTTCATTTTTCTTACCCATTAGAGTGGTTATTGCGAAATTTTCATGCATTCAACACTATGCATAGGCAACAAACATATGTAGCAGAAAATAATAATGATAAATATGTAAAACTTTAGAAGCAATCTACAAGATATATATATGCTAGTAGTGTGGTTTAAGATCGTGTTTTATTTTATTTTATTTTTTTTGGAGATGGAGTCTTACTCTGTCACCCAGGCTGAAGTACAAGGGTGCAATCATGGCTCACTGCAGCCTCTGCTTCCCAGGTTCAAGTGATTCTCCTGCCTCAGCCTCCTGAGTAGCTGGGATTACAGGTGCCCGTCACCATGCGTGGCTAATTTTTGTATTTTTAGTAGAGACGGGATTTTGCCATGTTGGCCAGGCTGCTCTTGAACTCCTGACCTCAGGTGATCCGCCTGCCTCAGCCTCCCAAAGTGCTGGGATTATAGGTGTGAGCCACCGCGCCCGGCCCAAGATTGTGTATTAAAAGGCACTATATCATAGAGGTCAAGTCCCTGGTCTGTCAGTTACTAGTTGCTGACCATAAGCTAGTGGTTTAACTTCTCTATATCTCAGTTGCTCATATGTAAAATGGGAAGAGTAATAGAGAATGCCTCATAAGGCTGTTGAAGGATTAAATGACATAATTCCTATAAGGCATTGTAGTTAGATGAGAAATCAGGATGTCCAGAGGCTTATTTGGGTACTTACGAGAAAGCTGGCTCCAGGGGTCCAAGTTAGCTCAGTTCCGGAAGCTCCCCTTTCTAAAAAGGCCATTTCCCCAACCAGGAAGCTTCCATTGTCACAGTCATGTAGATGTGCTGGACCCCCAGAACTGCAAATGCGTAGAACTGATTCACAATGGAACTTCCCTCTGTTTTTGAACATTGGCCAGAGTATACTGTCCACATATGCCCTGTCTAAACTGCAGGGTAAAGAGAAGTCGCAGATGCTATGACCTCTAACTCCTCTTTGCTTGTAAGTTACCCCTCCCCCATGAACTTTGTATATTTGCACCAGAGCCAAGGAATGCAAGTGCAAAGGTGAGGAAGGCTTCCCAGAGGGAATGTCCCAGTTGGTTTTCAAAGGATGGGAAGGATCTTTGTAGGATATACAGGAGTTGACCTACTGTGGCCCTTTGGCAGAGCAGAGGGCCACAGTGGGTCAACTCCTCTTCATCCTACAAAGTCCAGCTCAAGCTTTCACTTCCTTGTGACCTCCCTGGTGACCACTGAGCCCAGGCACAGCCCCTCTCCCAGAACAGGGTGAGTCCTCCTTCCAGGCACAGCCCCTCTCCCAGAACAGGGTGCGCCCTCCTTCCAGGCACAGCCCCTCTCAGAGAACAGGGTAAGCCCTCCTTCCAGGTGCAGCCCCTCTCCCAGAACAGGGTAAGTCCTCCTTCCAGGTGCAGCCCCTCTCCCAGAACAGGGTGAGTCCTCCTTCCAGGTGCAGCCCCTCTCCCAGAACAGGGTAAGTCCTCCTTCCAGGTGCAGCCCCTCTCCCAGAACAGGGTGCGCCCTCCTTCCAGGCACAGCCCCTCTCAGAGAACAGGGTGTGCCCTCCTTCCAGACGCAGCCCCTCTCAGAGAACAGGGTAAGCCCTCCTTCCAGGTGCAGCCCCTCTCCCAGAACAGGGTAAGTCCTCCTTCCAGGTGCAGCCCCTCTCCCAGAACAGGGTGAGTCCTCCTTCCAGGTGCAGCCCCTCTGCCAGAACAGGGTGAGTCCTCCTTCCAGGTGCAGCCCCTCTCCCAGAACAGGGTGAGTCCTCCTTCCAGGTGCAGCCCCTCTGCCAGAACAGGGTGAGTCCTCCTTCCAGGTGCAGCCCCTCTCCCAGAACAGGGTGAGTCCTCCTTCCAGGTGCAGCCCCTCTCAGAGAATGGGTTGAGCCCTCCTTCCAGGTGCAGCCCCTCTCCCAGAACAGGGTGCACCCTCCTTCTTCCCTCTGGTGCTCTCACTGGCATATTCCCCACGGTCACATTTAACAGCCGCCACCTTATTGTCTCTGAGCTAAATGCTTCCTTCTAGACCCCAGGGAATTACTTAAACGTTGGGTGTATGAGTATTCACTCTCATCCCCAGATCCTAGGACTTTTGCTAGCATCAGGGACTCTGTAAATATTGTTGAAATACTAATCTGATGAGTTTCCTTACTGATCAAATGTGGGGGTTGGTCTCGTTCAGAATTTCCCAGTGGTTCACTGTGTAATATTCATTCTTTGCAAAGCTAATGTACTTTACATGAAAAGGGGTTCCATGATTAAATACGTTTTGCAACTGCTGGGTTAACTTGATTAAGCAGATTTCTTTACCATGATTGCTCATATCTGGAATGTGGTATAGAGTGTTTTCTAAACGTATCTGAAGACAGAATCCTATTTTCTTGCTGTCCTCCTAAGACAGTGATCCCAGCACATACTTTGCTAATCTCCATCTTAAAGATTCCTCTAGCACCATGTTTACCTGCTAAAGGCTCTGTTGCAAATAATTAATCTGCAATAGATTTAAATAAGTAAATTATTAGGTAGAATGACTTTAGATATGACAGCTGGACAACATCCTGTGGAAAGGATAAGAAAAAGGATCCACTGTGAATTAGTTTCTATTATAAAGACCCTTTTTCATGCTTGATCATGAGCTGGAAATGGCATAGAACATGCTGAGGCTGGCAATTATCTTCTAACTCCCAACTACAACATTTTTTTAAAAAATGTGGCCGGGTGCGGTGGCTCATGCCTGTAATCCCAGCACTTTGGGAGGCCGAGGTGGGCGGATCACGAGGTCAGGAGATCGAGACCATCCTGGCTAACATGGTGAAACCCTGTCTCTACTAAAAATACAAAAAATTAGCCGGGCATGGTGGCGGGTGCCTGTAGTCCCAGCTACTCGGGAGGCTGAGGCAGGAGAATGGCGTGAACCCAGGAGGCGGAGCTTGCAGTGAGCCGAGATCGCACCACTGCACCCCAGCCTGGGTGACAGAGCGAGACTCCATCTCAAAAAAAAAAAAAAAAAAAAGTTACTCCAACTTCAATTATTTATGCTTTTTAAAATTGAGAAAAGAGGCTGGGCGCAGTGGCTCACACCTATCATCCCAGCACTTTGGGAGGCCGAGGCAGGCAGATTACCTGAGGCCAGGAGTTTGAGACCAGCCTGGCCAACATGGTGAAACCCTCTCTAATACAAAAATTAGCCAGGCATGGTGGCGCACACCTGTAGTCCCAGTTGCTGGGGAGGCTGAGGCATGAGAATCACTTGAACCCAGGAGGCAGAGGTTGCAGTGAGCTAAGATGGCACCACTGCACTACAGCCTGGGTGATACAGCAAGACCCTTTCTCAAAAAAAAAAAAGAACTGAGAAGAAAAGACTTAAAGGAAAATTGGGGGAATGATCTACTGTTTTTTAAGAAGGATAGATTCTTTCACTCCCCAATATTAACTGAGTCCCAGTGGAGGTATTCAGAATCTGTCAGTGAAAAAAACACTTTGTTTTCTTCAGATTAAAACAAAAGTTGTGCTGATAAGTAAGTTTTCCTTGAAATTCCAAGATCTCTTTCAGCCTCATATCCTCTGGATGGTTAGTGGACAAAGAGTGCTTTAGTCTGAATCTGCTATATGATCCCCTTACAAAATCATGCTGCGTCTGCGTGGGAAAGACAGAGGTATTCATTTATTCCTGACTTATTCATTCTACTCTGCTTTTTCCTTGTGAGATGATGATGATTGATGGTGCTGATGATCATGATGATGATGACCGCGATGGTGATTCTTATTGTAATTTTGACACAGAGCCTCATGCTGTTACCCAGGCTGTAGTGCAGTAGTGAGATCCTAGCTCACCACACCTTCCAACTCCTGGACTCAAGTGATCCTCCCACCCCAGCCTCTCAAGTGCCTGGGACTACAGGCGGGCACCACCCAACCCGGTTAATTTTTAAATCTTTTTGTAGAGACAGGGTCTTGCAATGTTGCCCAAGCTGATCTTGAACTCCTAGCCTCAAGTGATCCTCCTGTCTCAGCCTCCCGGGGTGCTGGGATTATGGACATAAGCCACCATGCTTGGCCCTGTGAGATTATTTTTAAATAGACTTAGTGCAATTAATCTTACACAGAGATGCTCTGTGGTGCCATTCATACCCGGAGCTCCCCATGAGACCAGGCTGAAGGCTCAGCAGAAACCACCTCTTTGCCCAGCTACCTGTGTGCACTCTCCACCTCCCTCAGCACGCTGCAGGTTTCCCCTGAGGGAATCCCCATCTCAGGTTCTGCTTCCAGGGAAATTGACCTAAGACATGCCCACTTTCTTTTTCTCTGTCCGTTAACCAGCTTTCTCTGTTTACCCAGGTTTTGGCACTCAAATGGCTTGGGTTTGCAATGGCACCAGTTTGAGATAAATTTTTTAAAAAATCAACTTGCTATAATCTCTGGGTCTCCTGGTTCCAATTTTTTTATAATCAGATTGGGTAAGTAACAACCACTGAGTTCTGTCTGCCCTGATTGTGCGGCACAGACAAGCGTCTATCAGGAAAAACAGTCTTCAGGGAAGGTGTGGCGGGCGGGGTATGCACTCAAGGCATAGACTTGGACTTTTCCATCAGAGTGTGCATGGCTTGAGGTCAAGGATCATGGCTTTTTTTTTTTTTTTTTTTTTTTGAGATGGAGTCTCTCTCTGTCGCCCAGGCTAGAGTGTAGTGTCACAATCTGGGTTCACTGCAACCTCTGCCTCCCAGGTTAAAGCGATTCTCCTGCCTCAGCCTCCCGAGTAGCTGGGACTACATGCGCGCCCAGCTAATTTTTGTATTTTTAGTAGAGACGGGGTTTCACCATATTGGCCTGGCTGGTCTTTAACTCCTGACCTTGTGATCCGTCCATCTCAGCCTCGCAAAGTGCTGGGATTACAGGTGTGAGCCACCAGGCGCGGCCGGATCATGCCTTTTAATGTCCATACCCAAGAGATTTAATGACACACTGTAAGGTTGAGAATGTACTCAGTAAGTGAGTCGAGAAATGAATCTTCCCGTGGCTCACCTCAGCCCATGATCACCCTTCCCTTCTTTGCAGCCCTTGCTTTTTATAATGGGTACACCACACCATCAAGCATCAGACTATGTCATAGCTTGCATTATTTTCCAGTTCTTTATGTATGTGATGGCCTCATTTCTTTAAATTGTAAAACCTCCAAGATTAGCTGAACTCCATTTTCCAAATTAGACACTATGCAACAAGTCATTCATTTTGCTATTTAAAGCATTTATTAAGTGCTGGGAGCCAGGCAACAGGCTGGATTCTGAAGATTCAACAAGGAACAAGCAACAGTGCCTACCTTCAAGAAATGCACAGTGCCGTGAGGAAGATAAGTCAGTAGCCAGAAACGTGAAATAAACACTGTGGATAAAGATAAGCTCGGGGTGCTGGGTAAACATGGATGAGGGAATCATAACTCAGATTGCACATTTCACAGGGTTGTGGTCAGGACTGGATGATATAAACAATCTGGACGTAATAAATATTAAGAATTTTGGACATGGTGTCTGCTCCATAAATATTAGTTCACATAGCATTCTCCTTCCTTTTTGCCAAACCTTGCTGCAAAGGACCCTTGCTAGAAGATAAACTAAGTGGCTTAAGAGATACTGTTTTTAAGAGCACTGATAGATATAACTGATGTGATATTTTTAGGCTAGAAATAGGCTATATTGTATTCCCAATACAATATATTGGGAGGCTACATGCCTCCCAATACAATATACAGTATATTGGGAGGCTACATGCCTCCCAATACAGTTTGATCATTCTGAAAATTAGGCAAAAACACCTCTGCACAAAAGGATCTGCTTATCATCCTAATGTGAGCTCTTTTCCTCCCATCTCATAACTCTTAGAGGAGCGAGTAAGAACATTCTGGACTTGGAGAGACTTGAGTTCTGATCCTGATTCCCTGACAATCTTTCTGATCATGGACAAGTTACTTTCCTAAACCTCATTTTCCTCTGCTATCAGTGGGGGAAATAGTACCCACCTCAAAGAATGGTTGTGATGATTCAAGAAGATAACTCATGGATAGATCTTAGCACACTCAATCATTCAACAAATGTTAGTTGAGCACCTGCTCTGTATTGGATGCTAAAGATAGAGCAGAAGAGGAAAAAAAAAAAAAAAAAAACACACAGACCAAATTATACCTGCCCTCATCGAGCTTACACTCTGGTGGGGGAGACAAAAAATATATAAGAGAGAGATAAGGATGACTCATAGTATATTTGAAAGTGATAAGAGCTAGGAAGGGAAAAGAAAACAAAGCAAAGAAGGATATGAAGTAGAAGGCAGGCACTGAAATTCCTGGAGGGCGAATTATCTGAATAAAGACCTAAACAGGTAGTGCCTGGCACAGGTGAATACGCAGTAAATTTTAGCTATTTTACTAGGATATATTTTTGCTCCACTGCTCTGGATTTGGAGCACATTGTGGCTAACATGTCTTGGAGAATGCTGATTTAAGGTAATGACTTGGAGTTGTCACACTTTGCTAGTGATTAGACTTAACCACCATTCAGATTTCTCATCTGCATTACTGGCTGTTCTCATTTTTTCCCCTTTGCGCTCATGAAGGTTCTTTTCTTGAAACAAATACACATCATCCCCCTCTGGGGTGATATTGCTACCAGAGGAGCTACTACAGCATTTGCTCTTCCATCTTTCATAAGGACCTGTCCCCATAAAAGAAGCACTTGTCTCCCACAATTGTTTCTCATCAGATGCTAAATTACATAAAAGGATGCCTTGTTCCAAGTGGAGCATGGGGGCCTCTCGCTCAAATGTGGTTAGTGCTGCTAATGGGATCTGCGTGGCTTGCATGGAGGGGGAGACCTTTAGCCTGTCATAGAAGCTGACATTCTAAATAGCAACAGGTTCCAGATAGAAATACCCAGCTGAGTTAACATGATGACACCACAATCCAAGGGGCTGGGAGCGCAGTAGAAACAGTTGTCCCTGGTGATCAAGGAAGTGAGAAGGATTTTCTTGCATCTATTTTCTCTTTTCTAGCCAGACAAAAATCCTTGAATTCCTAAGATGAAACCATTTGATCTGAACTTTCCATCTGCATCTTTTTCTCCTTTTATTCATGCATCTCAAGCTTTTGACCACGTCCTTTCCAGCTCTAATCAATAAGTTTGCTAAACACCCAGCTGTTAAACACCCAGTTGAGGAAGAGACTGTTTGACCACGTTCCTTCCAGCTCTAGTCAATAGCTGTTTGCTAAACACCCAGTTGAGGGTGAGACTGAGCTGTGCGATCTTGGGCAAGTTGTGCAAATTGTTCAGGCTTCAGTTGCTTCTTTTTTGACATGGGAATGAGAACACCTAACCAGATAAAACATGAGATTCTGTGAGTGAGGATTGTGAGCTCAGCAAAGATTCAATGACACCAAAAATCATCTCTTAAGGGGCTTCTTGTATAGCTGGACAGATAATGTTGGCACCTGGATGAAGGGAAAAAGACCACATATGCAATGCTAAGGTATAATGAAAGCAAGGATTCCAAGATAGATGACTCACTACTAATGGCTCAACAGTCTCTTCCTGGCATAGCACTAGTATATGACAGTAAGTACAGCAGTGTGTGTGTGTGTGTGTGTGTGTGTATGTGTGTGTGTTGGACAGATAAATCAACTGTGGCATATCCCTACAATAGGATACCAGGGAACAATGGAAATGAATGATCTACAGCTTCATGTGAAAGCATGAATGAAGATTTTTAAAACCAAGGGAAAGATATCTGGGTTCAGCTGAAGCGCCAGCTTGTTCCACCCAGAGAAGCCCACTTTGTGAGAATTAACAGGAAGGAGCTTGAGCTGCCTGAACCTCTTCTCTGTGAATTCATGGCATAATGGGTGTTAAAAAAATAAAAGACCTCTGGACTGTAAAAATGTTTTTCTTCATTGAGTAGAAGTGTGGTGTCATCTCCCGCAAAGAAATGTTTAAAGCAAATTTCAATCATGTCCAAAAAAAAAAAAAAAAAAAGATCTGATTCTATTTATTCAGCCTATGAGATGAACAGAAGCAAATGTAAAACCAGCAATTCAATAAACAAGAGAGAGAAGGAGAAATAAATCGAAAACAAAACAAAAATCTCCCACTCACAAACCAAAATTCCAAGGACACACAAACCATCTCAGGCTAAGAAAAACCCAAAAAATTCAGAACTGAAATTCCCTTTCAGTTGAGTTCACTAAAGTTGCTGTATAGAATATTAGAATATTAAAAAAAGTAGAGTTTCAGTAATAATGAACAAAACATAACAGAAAAAAAGATAGTAAAAAATTATAAAGCATTTAGAAAACATTTAACAAAATACATGCAAGACTTTTACAGAGAAAAACATAACCTCATTGAAGGACATGTAAAATACACGAATAAATTAAAAATTATATCCTCTTCTGCATAGTCAATAGTATAAAAGAAGTCAATTGTCCCCAAATTTTTATAAATTTAATTAATACAAATCCAATCAATACCCTAACAAAGTTTTCTCTAGACTTGAACAAGTCTAAATTCATAGTGAAGAATAAAATATCAAGAATAAGCAAGACAACTTTGAATAGAAACAATAAGGCAGGAAAATTTCCTTTACCAAGTAACAGGGGTTATTAGATAGTGTGATGACAGCATTGATCAGGATAGACGCACACACCAATGAAACCAAATATTGACCTGACGTAGACCTGCACTTGAATGTAAACTTGAAATATGACACGTGGGATGGCCAGTCAATGGGGAAAGGATAGACCCTGGGCAATTAGAATAGAATAGGGCAATTTCACTGGCCTACATGTGCATTCCACATCATTGCACACTTGTCAGATTAGCAATCATGAAAAACACCACTGCATGTTGTCAAGGTGCAGAGCAGGGATGAATTTCCTATGCCAGGAGTGGAAGCTAGCGCTAACACTTTGTGTGTGTGTGTGTGTTTAGATGTAGAGTCTCACTATGTCGCCCAGGCTGGAGTGCAGTGGTGCGATCTTGGCTCACTGCAGCCTCTAACTCCTGGGCTCAAGTGATCTTCTCACCTCAACTTCCCAAGTAGCTGGGACCACAGGCAAGCATCAACATTCCCAGCTAATTATTTCCATTTTTTTTTTTTTTTTTTTTTTTTTTTTTGTAGAGATGTGGTCTCACTGTAGTCTCAAATGCCTGGGCTCAAGTGATGCTCCTGCCTTGGCCTCCCAAAGTGCTGAGATTACACGGGTGACCCACTGCACTTGAACCACTTTGGATAATACTGGTAGTACCGCCACAAAGAAAATTCTAGAGAGTTTGGGGAAAACAAAACATAAACTTTTAAAAGAAAATAAAGGAGAATATGTCTATGTCCTAGGAATAGATACGTTTTCTTAAACAAGAGAATAAAAGCAAAAACCATAGAGATGTCTTCATTAATATCATTGCCCCTACTATAAGCAGTGGCCAGTTAATCTCCCACACCCATGCCTTCCACCTGCTGTGCACTCAACCAGAAGCAAAAGCTTTAGTGACTATGATGCCAGAGTGTCAGGATTATTATCCCCTACTTACCAAGAGCAAAAGGGTCCCTACTGCTTTCAGAGAGGTGGCAATCTGACTGCAAACTCCTAGCTGAGAAGCTGTTTTATAAGCTTCTTGCACAAATTGTCTTATCTGGGCTTCAAAGATAACAAAGTCTGAGGCAAAGCATATGTGCTAATATTTTATTGTGGAATGAAACATCGAGGCAGCAGGAATAAGGGAAAATAGACATTGAGGCAGGTAGGGCTGGAAAGCAAATACCAGGTGGTACGTTATAGAGTTGACCTCAGCTTAAGGTTTCTCTCTCAAGGTTTCTAGTCAGGCTAAACAAAACTACCATTTTTCAGAATACATCATCCAGGGAAAGGGAAAGGACACTGCTGCTAGCTCCCTCCCATCTCTCACTGATCCAAGCTGGTACCCTGGGACACAAATTCTGCTTTACCTGAGAGTGGTGTCACGCAGCCCTTCTGGTTGACTGTTGGGGAAGCCAAATCCTGCACACCATGGTGTGTACTTCATTTGAATCTAAGTTTGGTGGGTAGGGCCCAAACTCTCAATGACTTAATTGGATTGGGACTGGTGGCTGAAGTTTCTGCCAAGGTGGATGTGAAGGAGACAATGGTAGTGGCAGCCAGGATGTTCCAATGAGCAAGTGCTCAAAGGCCCAGGAGTTGATGGTGCCCAGTGATGCTGGGAATCTGGTTCACTACCTCATGCTAACTCTGCCTAGAATCACACAATGTTTATCTAACATCCAATCCTCCTACCAACCATGTAGGAGTAGCACTATCCACCTCTTACAGAAAAGAAAACTGAGGCTTTGTACAACATACCTTGCACGTAGTAGAATGAGTATTTGAACCTAGTAAAAAGTGCAACGTTTGTACTCTTTCTCCTAGCCAATGTACATCTCCTATTCCAAAAATTCTAAGCAAAAGATGGCAATACCTATGATAAAAGAAATTTTGGGGTTGGTGGGAAGACATGGTGGTAGTGGTCACTGTGTGTTGATCGGACTTCAGAATAACAAAGGAAGAGTTTCCTTTTTACTTATTACTATGATGCACCATTTAGACATATTAGTTATAGAGAACACAAAACAACATACTTTGACACAACAAATGAACTGCATTAAATGGAATGTGTTATAACCCAGGCTTGGGCTGACAACATAAAAACCTCTTGATGAAACTATCCCCAAGTAAACCTTTGCATCCCATCTATTATTTTGATGTTGTATTTTCACCAAACTGATAATATGTCCAGTCTTCACATGGAATCACCCAAGGTCACATTGACATAAACGGCATTTCTTTAAACACAGTCCTTGAAACTCCAGTAAGCATCATGCTCTTTCACAGACTTGAAATAGTCACAGCACAAACCCCAAGACAAAGGGGAAGTAACTTCCAGTGAACTGAGCAAACAGCCTCACTAAAGAGCAGAAGAATTAAAAATAGGTTTTCGGTGGTAACATGAAAAGAAATACAGATTTTCTTTCTTGCCTTGATTCATTCAATTTAGAGGTGCAAAACAGAGTTCAGCTTCCACTCTCTTATATCTTTGGTCTTTCTCTTCTCAAAGATCTTCAGGTGCAAAATTGAAGTACAACCATCCTATTTACTCAGCCATTTCACCCTTTATCTATTTGCTTCCGGTGTATTTTGAGGAAATGAACAATATGTTTCCCATTTTGCCCTCTTAGGCCTCATTTTTCCTATTAAAAAAAGTTTCCCAGCCAGATGTGGTGGCATGCCTGTGGTCCCAGCTACTCAGGAGGCTAAGGTGGGAGGATCACCTAAGCCCAGGCGTTTGAGGCTCCAGAGAGCCGTGATCATGCCACTGTACTCTAGCCTGGGTGACAGTGAGACCCTGTCTCAAAAAAAAAGTTTCCATAATTAAAACAAAAGAAAAATTTCTATATGTAGAATGTGATTGCCATCAGAGCAAAAATAATATTTAAAGAGAAGTAAATGACTGCACCACTGCACTCTGGGGTGACAGAGCGAGAGCCTGTCTCTAAAAAGAAAGCAATAAAGTAAAAAACAAGGTGAAGCAAGATACTTGAAATCATCTGGGATGTATGAAAAAAAGAAATCGTTCAACACTCCTCCACCTCCGTTACCTCAGTGCTTTTTCTCCTCTTCTCCCTCAACTCTGTCCCTAGGAGATGCTTTCCTTCTCCCTTAACCCTGTCCCTAGGAGACGCTACCTGAACCTGTGGTGACAGAGGAAGGGGACAGGTTCTGCCTGCGAGAGATCCGAGAGATGGGGTAGGATGGCAAAGGTCTCTCTTCCTATCCCAACTTCATTGCCTAAAACCTATGTGTGACACTTAAAGAAAAATGATAAATGTAAATGTGGTTATTTAATTATTGCTCTCATAGTAATAAAGCAGTCTTTCTACTAAGGCATCAGGAAATCCCAGAATAACGGAAATGATTGAAAGTGGGAGGGCTAGAGGTAGTTGTGTGAGGATACACGAGAATGTTTTAACAACTAAAAAGAATAAACACAAGTTCCTCGACCAGAAAGTTCCATTCTGGAGCTAGGAGGTGACTCTGAGAGGTCACACAGGACTTTGAGAGCCGTGGTCGTTAACAACCTAGAAATAAGGCTTTAGTGTGTGGCAAAAACAAAACAAAAAATTCAGAACAAAATAACTAATGCAGACGCTAAAGATAATATTGAATGACCTTCAACACAAAGACCCAAACACCACCATAGAATTTATTTTTACTTTATTAACAATGTGGCTTACAATTTTTTTGAAGTAAAAAGGGTTTTTTTCATTTAGAATAAAAATTAAAATATAACTCTGATATAGATTTTCATTTATTTACATGAAAACATATATACAGAATACAATCTTACAGCAAACCAAAAGCATGCCCTTCGTCCTGCAAATTTCAAAAGTAATGACACCAATTTTTCCCTTTTACGCACCAAAAACATACACAAGATAGGAATCCAATTTCAATACAAACTATTCAAACTAGAATGCAAAACAGTGAAAGAGCTTTCAACAATCACGACGAGGGATAGTTGATGCTTCCAGAGATCATGCTGGCTCCTGTTTCAAGCAAGTGAGATGATTATCTTTTTCTGTCATTTAAAAAAATTTGCCTCAAATTTTTCATCCTAAGGTGATTTTTAGCCAACGATTGTCCTAGAATTTTCCTTTTTTCGTCAGCACATCGCTTCAGCCACACAAAAAGCACTGCTCTGCGTTGGTTAGGCGACACGACCGTCATACTTACTGGGCCAAATCCCATTACTTAGTGCCAACAATTCAGAAGGATTATGGCCTCTTCCTCAAACAATATGGAATTATTTGAGTTGTTACTTGTCATTGAAACTAGAGAGGTTTTAAACCAAAATTCAAGGCAGTACTCTGTCAGCAATTACAACTTTTAGGTAAATTACATGGGTCAAAAGTAGCACAATTTGATTTTATCATAGTATGTTTGGGGTATCTGCAAACCATTCTAGTGATAGAGCTATGAGAACTGGTCAACTTAAGAGTTCAACCATGTGAAAGGGAGTAATTTCCAGAAAATTCTTGAACAGAAAAGGGCAGTAAACAAAAGAATTATTGAATTATAATAGTTGCCAATACAGATTTCCTTTGCTATTTAATTATTGCACCAACGAGATATGGGCAGTATGGATATCTTGCCAACAATTTCTTCCTTAACAACTACAGGTTTCTTAATTGACTATGTTGCCTTTCAAATAATTGCACGCACGATCACAGCTTTCTAAAGACAGAAGAGAGAGGAAGTGAAGCCTTGATTCGCCATCTCAATCCAAAAGCAGCAAAGATGCTCAAACCACAACAAAGATTTTTAACACTACTGTTTTTTTTAGTTCTATATACAGAAATAAATATAAATGGGTGTTCTATAAAATAAGTATGAAAACCCCTAGTACTTCTAAAACTAAGCGGGGACAGCTCTTAGAAAGGGGTGTTTGGCATAAGACAGAAGGCAAATCTCAGAACTTGCCAAATACAACACTCAAAATTCTGTGAGATAAGTTAGGGAAACGACACCCATCTTCAAAAGGCTGATCAAAATCAACCTTCTAGAGAGGGCAGTGTTCAAGGTGTGGATCATTTTAATGTACTGAGGAACAAATCAAAGCAAACACAGGAAATAATCTTTCGAATATGATCAAATAAGGTGGGAGAACCCAGAAGCCGTGCAGCTCAAATACTGTGTCTGACTCCAACTTGGATCAAATGACTCTAATTTTGAAAGTGATGGATGAGTTCCCCACGCTGTGCAGCTCCGTGGTGAAGTTCACTGTGTTTTGCTTTTGTTTTGAAAGGCAAAGAAGTTCTGTAATGCCAGTAGTACCCTGTTGTTTTTCTAGGTTGTTAGGCTTATGTCTTTGTGGACAGGATATTTTTTCAACATAGTACAAATACAGTCAAGAAGTGAGGAGCTGAAACAAGCTCCATGAGTTTAGGGTGAGACTGAGCGATGGGCTGTCATGATTCAAGTTGAGGTGGCATCTCTTTCTCAGGGTTTTCAAACGGCGCAGACTGCAGAGTCTCCCGGGCCAGTTCCAATAAGTTCCAAGTGGCATGATGCCCACAGGAAGTAGGCGCACTAAGGAGAGGACTTTGGTCCCAAAGAATCATCAAAGAGAGACGGAGAAGAAACGGTACCATCCAGGGAAGGAATGCGGGGCATCACTTTTTGGTGTTTAGACCATGACATTGTTGGCCTAGGGGCTATGGTGGCATCGGGGCACGCATGTCAAATCCACTTTTTCTGGCAAAAGCAACAAGGACACACACAGAAAAATGCTCCATGAAATTGGCCCTACCTTTAAGACAGACGCTGGTGAGAGGTGAATCCTACAGAGAAATGAAAACACATTACAATTCTGTACCAGAACTGCTGCTGATGTGAAGTCCATCCACCACGACGGAAATCCCCGGAGAATCCAGGCTCAGAAGGACACTGGCAACAGCTGGAGGAAAAGCACCTCCTGGGTCCTAAAATCTTTCTGGGCTCTCCTCAAGGACCGGAGAGATGGCACAGAGACAACTTTCATGGCGACGCCAGGCTGCGCCCTCCTGTGCAGTGGTCCCAGCCATCTCCTCCCTGGCACGTGCACAGACAGTGCTCACCCATGGTGACCGCAACTGCACAGAGAAACGCTGAAGTTAAACTGTCAGGGTGAAGGATACGGAGAGTCTTGGGCGCTTGGCTCCACGGGAAGCAAACACTTTCCCCTGCGACAGTGGCTGTATCCTTCCTGAGCTCCTGGCGGGCCACACACTCTAGCTTCCTAGATGGGCTCCAGAGAGCTCCTGGAGGATCCCCTCCCTCCAACGCAGCACCTCCTCCTCCGTGCTACCACTGAAAAGGGAGACAGAAGTGACATTTGTGCTGCAAGTCCCTGTTCTTTTGTGGCCACCACATTCCCTCACCCTCGTCTCAAATACAACAGGAACAGCTGAGCTTGAAAAGGCCACAGTGAAGGATCATCAAAGAGTCAGCGCGGGGAAAATGCCAAAGATCTGGAAATGGATGCCCTTTCCAATCGTTTGACAGAGTTGAACTCCACAAGACTGAGCGTTTAAGGCCAAAAGCATGTGGCTGAGAAGGCAGGGGTGGAAAACCGCAGAGAGTTCAAAACTTGAGCTTAAAGGAGAGATGCCCGGGGCAAGCCAGCCACAGATCCCAGAGACATTTCTGTCGGGGTACAACTGACACACTCCTCCCATCTGAGGTCCCCAGGCAGATGCATCAGCCGAACTCTAAAACTTGATTCTAGAAATCGACTGCAGGGGAGACCAAAACGCCTCATCCATAAAATATGTGTTTTCCATTCTCATCTGTAACCATTACAGAATGTTAAGAAGGGTGAGCTTGAGCAATCAAAGTTTCCAAAATCCCACTGAGAATCATATCTGGAAATGTCACAGAAATGCAAGCAGCTCATCAGCCCACCGCAGAATTTTACTGGAACTGTGGAGACTCTAGTCCAAGGGACGAGCTCAAGGTGATTGTGGTGAAAAAGCAGGAAGGGTGAGAAGCCTCTGCTTCCAGTGTCTGCTTGGGAACTGTGGGAGGGTTTGGTTTCCTTGCATAAGTTTAAGAAGGCATCTTGGCAGCCACCACAGCGGAACACTGTAGTCCACAGGGTCTGAGTGGAGATATGGAATCGCTCATGAGGATATGGAGATGGCTTCTGGTCCAAGAGGCCAGCCAACTCTCGCAGCCACAGCTTTGTCTGCACGTGACCTGGCGGATTTAACACAACTGCCCAGGAAATTCCACAAGCAAACTCAAAGCCAGAAAGAGCTGTAAGAATGGCCGAGTCAGAACTGGGACCAGACCCTTCTTATTCTTTCTTTTTCTAATTTTTGTACGATCTGGATCTTCCTTTCCAGCATGAGTGGGGTGAATGCCAGCAGGAGACAGTGTGCTCACCACCGCACCCTCAGGGTCCACACCTGTCACTTCACAGGAATGGAGGTCCAGAGTGATGAGAAGTCACCCAAGATCTCAGAGTTTGTTCTCAGCGAAACCAGGGTGCCAAGTGGCTGACTCCAGATTCACTGCTCCTGCTGCATCATGCCTGGTTCATATGCTGCCAGCTAGGGCAGAACGAGACAGAAGGGACGCTCAGAGGGACTCCTGCTCGGTGACCTGCTGCAGTGATCCTTCTAAGGGGGACGTAGCTGGTTGATGAAATGCTTCCCTCACATCTCTTTCCCTTCCTCCTCTCTGAAACTAAGCTTTTCCTTTGATATATAATCCAACATTTGCCTAAAAGACTCACTCCCTGATCCGGCTACGATTAAACAACAACACTGGAGATAGTTGAGGGTCTAGAAAAGACTGGGTAGAGTTTGTCTCTACAGATGTTCTAGGCTTCAATCAAAAACCATCCAGTTGGGCCGGGGCGTAGTGGCTCACACCTGTAATCCCAGCACGTTGGGAGGCCGAGGCGGGCAGATCACTTGAGGTTGGGAGTTCAAGACTAGCCTGACCAACATGGTGAAACCCTGTCTCTACCAAAAATACAAAAATTAGCCAGGCATGGTGGTGGGTGCCTGTAATCCCAGCTACTTGGGAGGCTGAGGCAGGAGAATCACTTGAACCCGGGAGAGAGAGGTTGCAGTGAGCTGAGATTGCGCCACTGCATTACAACCTGGGCGACAGAGCAAGACCCTGTCTCAAAAAACACAACAAAATGAACAACAAACAAACAAACAAACAAACAAACCATCTAGTTGCATGGAGATGCCTGCCGGCCTTCCTTCACTCCCCGTATTCCTAAAAGGCACCTCTAACAGAGGACAGAGCTTTAGCACATGTTTTTATAAGGATGTCGCTGCCAGCTGCATTGCAAAGGAGTTGCCACCAAGATGAAACCGCAAGTGCCACTCAACCAGGGTCACACGCCTATCCATGGGAAACTGCATATATAAATGTGCTCGTGTGATTACAGGAAACACTACAGCATGGCGTGAGGTTTCTTCCTTGGCGACATTCTTTGTTTTCAAAGAATGCAGTCCTCATCTGAGGAAACCCTGCTCCAAGGGAGCTGCCTGATTTGGGGCAGGAGAAAGGCAAAACGTGGGTGAGCCAAGAAGCAGGCCCACGTCTGGCAGGGTCTGATGCATGACTTTAACTGGCACTCCCCAGAAGCGACTGCTGCTGTGCTTTGAAAACATGGAAACAGCTCACAGGCTGGCGGAGGCAGAAGATCCTGGGCTTCTGGTTTTCTGGTGATACTTAGTGGCTGTACCATTTAACATATCCCGGAAAATCAAAGTTTCAGTCCTGGAAACCTTTACCAACACCGCATCCCAGCAATAATGGGCCACCTCCCGAGGGCAGACTCAGTTGGCGTACTGGGCGTAGAAAGCCACTTTGACTCTCTCGATCTGGTGGCATAACTTGATGGCAGGCCCCAGCTTCAGCTCCATGCACTCCTGCACCGTCGGAAGGGTCAGAAGCAGGAGTGCTTGGCCGTCAATATCCTGCAGGAAAAGAAAGGCAGGTTAGAGAAGGGGCAGTGTGCACTGGGGTACACAGATGCGTCACAGCAGGCTCCAGTCCGGGGCCAAACATGACAACAGGATGCTCTTGTTTCATTCAATTCAGGGGATTGTTGGTAGAGATACCAGCCCGGCTTGATGACTGTCTAATCTTTGTGTTACTAAAATCTTTTTGTAGCCGGGCACAGTGGCTCACGCCTATAATTCCAGCACTTTGGAAGGCTGAGGCTGGAGGATCGCTTGAGACCAGGAGTTTGAGACAAGTCTGGGTAACACGGTGAGATACGGTCTCTACAAAAAATTTAAAAATTAGCTGGGCATGGTGGTGCAAACCTGTGATGCCAGCTACTCAGAGGCTGAGGTGGGAGGATCACCTGAACCCAGGAGTTTGAGGTTGCAGTGAGCTGTGATCATACCACTGCCCTCCAGCCTGGGCAACACAGCAGGAGACTCTCTAAACAACAACAAAAAACAACAATACAAATACAAGAGCTTTTGGCTAAGGGCACTCTGGCTACTCTGAAACTCACATACCTACCCTGGTGGGTAGAAAGAGCTGGAACAGGTGGGTTGCTGCGGGAATTGCTTCCCAAGCTTATCGCCCCTTGCTGGGAGGGCAAGTCACTCTCCACCCCAGGCAGGGCCAGGTCCTCCCTAAGTGATGCTGAGACTTCATCTGAGCACTAAGCAAAGGAATCTCTACTAAAAGACAAGGCTCCCTCAGCTCCCTGCCAAGGTCTGGCATTTCACCATTAGGATGGGTGAGAAGATGCTCAAGACAGATATGCCAACGACAGCACAGGTTTCCATAAAGGGAAACACACACACACACACACACACACACACACACACACACACACACACCATTTACAGACACACACTCCCCAGAGCGAGGTGTCGCTCGTACACAGATCTGTTGCCCCACTGTGTCCTGCCTCAGCCTTTCTCTACCTACACACAGGGCATGAAGACATTCATTCAATGAATGTTCAGTTGAATTTGCTGCAGGAGGAAGCATACAAAGACCCACTCCAAAGCTCTAAGACCCTTCCACTGGACATCTCTGTCTCTTCAGCAGCTTGCTTCCTATAGTAATCTGGTTCATTCACATAGATGTCATTTGACCGGACTGCTGACTTTAACCGCAATCCTCCCTCCTATTTACCAAGATGATCTCAATCGTCCAGAGGGAGTCACTGAGGGGTCTGAGAGATTGCAGGCCCCAGGCAATGATGATCAGTGGTACCGTGAGAGCATTAAGTGAGCTCTACATACTGGAATTTCTGCCACTTGCAGAAGAATTATACCCAGGGCTGCCATAAGCCACAAGGACATTAATAGCCAAGCAAAAGCACAAGATCATACGTCTCCGACAACACCTGTCAGTGACTTTCGCACAGGCAGCTTATTTTCTTAAACTAACGGTTTATTTAGCTGTCTTGAAAATATCTAAAGCAAAAAGGCAAAGTGTGTATAAATGGTAGCCTTGAGCAGACTAATCTTCTAAGCAAGCATAGATTCATCATCTGATCAGATTCAAAAGACTAATGTTAAGAGCAGGAATAATTTATCTTCAGATCAGATTCAAAAGCAACAATATTCCCTAATAAGTACTGTAGCAATAAAAATGCAACATTAACTTTAAAAGTATCAATGTGAGTGTCATTTTTTATTTTTAAATTACAGATGAGCACTAGCTATGATGTAAGCAACTCGAAGCCACGTTCAACCAAGACCAAAGGTGACCTTATCAAATCACAAAGTAAACAGATCTGTCTTGTATACACACTGAAAGCAGGAGACAAACTGTAGAAAACTGTCACTATATTTTCATGCTATGTTTATATCATTTTTCCCTTGCTCTATAGTGCTCATACATGTTATTTTACTTTCTTTTCAGATGCTACAGAAAAGGCTGATTGCAGCTGGGGGGATTTGGGAGTACTGTGAAATAAGTGTTTGGCTCTAGGTCGCGAAGAAACCAAGGGGACCTCTGGCCTGGGGCCTGTAGGCCAATTCCACTTTCAGAGCCAAATCCACATGTAATACATCAAATTACACCAAGAGGGCATGGGTGTAGGGACTCAAAGTCTTCCAGGTACCATGGGCCTCATAAAAACACATTTTAAGTAGGCAGAGGGCTGATGTTCTATTCTGTTCTGTTCTGTGGATGTCATTAAACCATGGACAGTTGGCTTAACCATTATGTTCAATGACATCCATAGAACAGGAAAGAATAGAAATAGAACTTATTTTACTTTCCCAGGAAGTTTACTTTCCTGGTGAAAATTAATGCCCAGAAAAGCTAGCCAATCTAACTATGATCACATAGCTAGTTAGAGAAAGTGTTGGCATGAGAACTGTAGTTTTCTGACATTAAACTTTGAAGGGAAAACTGTAGCTCAGTCTTTAACATCTGTACTTGGGCATGATGGTGATTCAATCACCACTGACTATCAGCACGAAAATATTCGTGTAACTCTTTCTTTACAGAAAATTTCAGTGAAGGTGGCCAATGCATGTACCACATTTCAGTGCAGATGCACACACTCATGTATTTACTTGCCAATATTTATTGAGCATCTACTAAGTGGCAGGCACTTGGCTGGCCTCTGGGGAATGTCACAGTGAACAAAGGAAAGGTTCCCTCTCTGGACATCCCATGAATCTGGAGGGTGGCAGACAAGTAAACAGACTATTAGGATACAGGGATATTAACATATGGATGCAGAGCTAAGGGCTCAAACAGGACAGGCAACCAAGCCAGTCTTATAGGGGTGCTGAAAGGGCTTCGAACTGAGACTTCAGGGACCAGTAAGAATTATTAAGGCCAAGAGGGACTGAAAGAACACAGCTAGTTCCCTGGAACATAGAATTCCAGGAAACTGGGGAGACACCAAAGGTAAAATCATGACGAGCCCAGAAAGCCACTTTATCTGGAAGACTATTTTTTCTTTCAAGGATTATTTAGGTAACAGCATACCTCACAGGTGGTTTGATTTTTATAAACATGTTCCTATAGAACTGAGAGCTGCCGGCAGATCACTTTTAATGTTAAACACAGAACTACCATCAATGGACTAATTGTAAAGAAATGAAATATGATAAGATATACGACATGCTTAGCACAGGGCAAAATTAAATCGATTTTGATAGAGCACTCGGGTGAGGATCTGGTAGTTCCTAATGGAGGTATTGAGATCTAGAGAAGTAGAGAAAGGACAGCTTAATCTGGACTAAACCTATAAACTATCCTGAAATTTTTTCATTAAGGTCAGTTGAGCATTTGAGCAGTCTGCTTATTGCGCTGTCTCTGACTGATGAAAGCTGAATACATAGGTAAAATTTTATTTAGAGTGTTGTATGTGCTTAGTTATAGATGAGTGGATTTTTACTGTGTAATGTACAGGTTTGCAGCATGAGATTATGGAGTATAGATTTTTTAAGCGGTTGCCATAACATTTCAGAAATAAAAGGCACAGACGCTGGTCATGGGGAGTTCAGAATTTTTGCAAATTATAATAATCTCTGCATTTATAACGTTCAGGGCCTGCGTGCACATAGCGATGACCATGCTGTGCACTGTGATCTCATTCGCATGCCAGTGAAGAAAGTCTCTGGGTTCCTTCTAGCTCACCTGTAATCTCAGACAATGCCTGCGGTGACCTACCGGAGGCCTCACCAACTCAGAGCTGGAGTATTTGGGCTAAATGACGATGAACCAATTAGTAAAAATTAGTAATTAAAGGTCTGATGGGACAGAAAAGGACTCAAGTGCCCATGTACTTCAGACAGCCCAGTGGGCAATGGCTTTTTATTCCAACAGGTGAACTTGCCTAATGTGAAATGTGAAATTACACAGGAATGAGATGATGATCAATGAAAGTCTATCTATTTTTCTCTCTCGTAAGAGAAACAAGTAGGGATGAAAGGCAAGGCTTTTACTAATATTAGAAGAGCAATAGGGCAGAACTCTGTCTAGTACAAAAATTAGCCAGGCATGGTGGCGGGTGCCTGTAATTCCAGCTACTCAGGAGGCTGAGGCAGGAGAATCGCTTGAACCCGGGAGGCGGAGGTTGCAGTGAGCCGAGATCGCGCCATTGCACTCTAGCCTGGGTTACAAGAGTAAAACTCCATCTCAAAAAAAAAAAAGAGCAACTTGATTCTACAAGGGGGACAGTGTCGGCAGTGTTCCATTTCCTAGAAGGCTTAGCTTAGGGAAGGCATGAAACTTTTCTCTGGTGTTATCAACTGGGCTTAGGAATATAAGAAAGGAAGACTCAATACTTTAGGCTTTTCCCCATACCAGCTTTGTTTCACTTTCTTGCTTATTACTGAGAACTTGTACACAGTGTAGACAGACACAGGAGCTATTGACGTTTCAAGGTATAAGCCCTCATACCTAACCTGGGATCTAGAAATGAGAAATCTGCTCTTCATTCAGGCCTAACTAAATTTTTTTTTATTGTGAAAACTAAGCATTTGAGCCTAAAAATAAAACCAAAACATTAGAGTAATACAGAATGCCACACCTTGTATCTTTAGCTATCAGAAGGCACCTCGCAGGGACTGAATCGGTGTATGTTGAATGCACACAGGGACTGACAGATACGCATCAGTGCAACCAAACCTGCGTGATCAGCGCAACCAAACATGCATGACCAGCGCTTGTCACGTATTTGAATACAACGCTTATCTCGCCGCAGCACCACTGTCAATAAATGCCAGACAGGCAACGTGCTGTGCTGGGCAGCGCTTTACACAGCATTTCAACCTATTGCTTTAATTTTGTTTTCAAAATGGAGATGTGGCTTATCAATAAGCCCCCGATCACCTAAGCCCTTGTATTTCTTACAATTGTCTTTCTTTCCTGTTTGTGTGTTATTTAAAGGGACAAGCTCATCACCCAGGTTCTTTAGGTCTAAGGAAGTCTCTCCCTGGTTGCTTTTCAGAGTTGTCCAGACAGGAAGGGTGGCCAGTGTGAGAAGGTGAGGAGGTGACTCCCTCTGCCTCCAATCATTCTTTTTTCTTTCTTTCTTTTTGCTTGTTTTTGAGATGGAGTCTTACTCTGTTGCCCAGGCTGGAGTGCAGTGACACGATCTCGGCTCACTGCTACCTCTCCCTCCCAGGTTCAAGCAATTCTCTTGCCTCAGCCTCCCAAGTAGCTGGGATTACAGGCACCCACCACCACGCCCAGCTAATTTTTTTTTTTTCTTCAGTAGAGACAGGGTTTTGCCACGTTGGCCAGGCTGGTCTCGAACTCCTGACCTCAAGTGATCTGCCTGTCTCGGCCTCCCAAAGTGTTAGGATTACAGGCATAAGCCGCCATGGCCGGCCTAATCATTCTTTCAGCATGAACTTAGTGGGTGTCTGCAGAAGGTTCTAGTGGTTGTCAATAGGATGAACTACTTCATCTCTTGGACTTCTCGGGACACAGGGGAAAGAACTACTCTCTTTGGGTGGCACTGGAGACCATTTTAATTTGCTTTTTCCAGTTCATTGCTGCATGAACTTGGGAGAAAAGCTGGGAAATTTTCTGGGTACACAGGAAGTCACAGACCTTTTATGTTTCCTGATTTAATGCTGGAAATATCCTCTTTCTAGACTACTGATTTATATGATCTAAAAAGAGACTGAATAAACCTATCTTTAACATTATATGAAAAACAGTACTTTTTTTTTAACATGAGGTCTTTGAACACAGATATTTACACCAGGACAACGCAAGAAACTTCAACAAATTAAGCACAGAGTACAGCAAGAGCCTGGCATTTTCTGCAAGGCCAGTGAGGCAGGATGCAAGGTGGTGTGTGTGCAGAGTGGCAACTTGTTTCCGTATTAATTTAAGGGATAATGTAAATAAAAACCCTCTCTTCTTCCTTAGGACACAGCATCATATGATCTTGTGTTTTAGCTAACTATACTCATTTCATCTGCTGGACTATAGGCTCCTTTAAGGTAGAAATTATATCGACTGTTATTGCATTTGTCCATCACCATACCATGGTCTTAAAAATATTTTATGCAGAAAGAAGTGAGGAAGGTAAGAAAACAATGACGAAAGCAGCATTCAGTACGACACACCAGCCAGCGGGCTTCTGCTCTGGGCAGGCCAGGTGGATACACTGTTCCCTCCTTCTCCCACTAGGCCTAAGTAAGATCCATGGGCATTATATACAAATTCACAAACAGAAGACTCTGGAAGGTGGAGAAAGGAGGGCAGACCGGCTAGGGGCCTGGGCCCCCAGCTGACAGCACAGTGCTGAGCTCTCTGGTTGTTGTGGTTGCTGTTTGTGTGTGAGCTTCATGCCCCTGAGACTTGGAGCTGAAGAAGCTGCAACCCAGATTTGCCAAAAGGCACTGACAGGAGGCTCAACCAAAACCAGTTCTCTCCAGACAAAGGCCTGGCCAAGGGGTGGCCCAGCAAGACAAAAAACCGTGAGACAGCAGCATCTCTTCTGCAGCTGAACATCACAGGGAGGGCTGGACGGACCCCACTGAGAGCAGCCAAGGCAGAGTGTGCTATCCTGACTTCCGGCCTGGCCAGGTGGCAACTGGGCACCCCATCCCACCACTGACCTGGCATCTGAAAGGGCCAGCCAGGGAACTGGGACTCTCACCCCTGCCTGGTGGTAAAGAGCCCCCACTGTAGAGTCGGTGGAGATGGCAGGGGGAGCGTGGACTCGCACCCCTCACCTGGCAGCAACAGGCACCTCCCACCCCTGCTGGGTGGTGTCACTAGAGCCTGGAAGAGTCACCCCTCCGCCCCCCACCATGGCACTGGTGGGGCCTGAGAGGAGCAGGAATGAGGCTCTGTCTCTCGTCCCTGCCAGGCAGCTCTCAGCAGGGGCCTTGGAGGGAGAAGGGTCTCGCACACCTGCCGAGCAGCGCCGAAGAACCCCCTCGCAGGTGTCACGAGGAAGCCGGCTAGGACACGAGGTTCATTTCAGATGCAGAGTCTCAGCACATCAAACAATCGACACGCGGCAACCACCGTACCTGCTCCTGAAATATCTTGGCCAAGGGGGCACAGTCTGTCAGCTTAATGAACCTCACCACGTCGGTGACCGTCCACTCCAACGGGTTGCTCTCCAGAACCAGTCTCTCCTCCTCCTCCTGTTTCGTGTCCTGCAGAGAAAGGGCAGGAGGAGCTCAGCTGCGGCACAGTCAGCTGGCTGGGTCCTCTCCAGCACTCTCCAGGCCTCGGCCGTTCCTGGCCGGAAGCCACTGCCTCCCTTTGCTCCCTCACTGGGCACCTGAAAAAGCTGCACACACTCTCAGTCCCTGAGAAAGTTCTTGGCTCAGTGATGATGCCCCCTGCAATGACTCATGTGCCTTCAGATGGAAGAAGGCAGGCACAGTGACAGTCGCTCTTGCATCCCTAGTTCAGGAAACCTTGGGCCTGCTTATGAACGAAGCATCTCTGATTAGAGAAAAGAGGAGAAATACAAGGGGCACGTCCAAGCAGACACGAGACAGTGTCCCCCAGTGTTTCTGTAATGGTGGTGCCAGTGGCCCTTTCTGCTGATCTCACACCACCCATGGGGCTAGGGGAGACCTGAAACACTGATTAAATATTTTAAAACATCACAGAGGTGTCCTATAGAGGGGACGTGGGAGCAAGACACAGCGCAGTCAGGGGAGATGCGGGGAAGGAATTTCTGGAAACCCAGACTTCAAAGGAAACTGAGGACTGTGCCCTCCTCCTGACAAGAACCCAGGTGGCACTAAAGCCGTCCAGGAAAGAGGCGCTGTCTCCACCCTGGGCACTCCATTCTGATGCCGAAAGGCCCCTCCACCCAGAGGTGAAGTGCCAGCCTTTGTTCCTGACTTGGGAACTAGCTAGAGCAGCTGCTGCTGTTGGAGGTATTTTAAACAGGTTTCCCCACATCGTGGCCCTGAAGTGTAACAGGTGTGCTTCTTCAGACCCAGCGGGAAGCCCTCTGTCCCCACGCCCGGGCATCACCTCTGTCCCCTCGGGCTTGGTCGGCGGGCACTTCTCCCCTTCCTCTGCTGAGGAGGCAGCCGGCGCCCCGCGGCCCCTTCGTGTCCTCTCTGGGGGTGGCCGGCGCACGGGCTCTGAGCCGCTCCGCAGGGTGACGGCCCTCCGGGGCCGGGCCGAGGGCACCTCCGCCGACGAGGTGTCCGTCTGGTCATCCCGGAGCTCGGAGCCGGTCTCCTCACTGGCGGTGTCATCGTCCATGGCGTCAGCGTCCTCCTCTTCACTTTCCTGGGAAGGAGGAAAAGGCATTTAAGGGGCTGGTGGCCCGGGGGCCTGTAGCGGTGGCCCCGCGGTCAGACCCTGGGCCCAGTGCAGACCACCTAGCAAACCCTCGGAAATGGAGCCAGTGGTCCCACCCGTGGGCCCTACGAGGCCCTTCCCAGCCAAAGCAGCTGGACACACTACATTTGTTTTCAGCAAGTAAGGAGGAGGGGGCTCTTCTTCAGTGTTTCTGACCATCTTGCCACAATCTCCAGGGCCACCTCTGCTGTGAAGCAGCCACACTTGCCGGCCAGGGCCAGATGACAGAGCTACAGGCTGGCAGGTGCCCCGGGCAGAACATACCTCCCCCGAGCCCGCGGTGAAGTCCACGGCAGAAGACCTCCGTTTCTTCTGCACGAAAATGGATTTCCGTCGCTTCCTCCGCCTGGCGGGTTTGGGGTGTCCGCTGTCGGGGTTGCTTTCCCCGATGGGGGGCTTGGAGATCTTCTTTCTCTTTCCATAGTAATAGGCTGTAGGAAGGAAGATGAGAAACTTTTGAAGGCTATACACACACACAGACATGAACAGAGAGAGGAGAGAGAAAGAAGGGAAACGATTCTTTCATCTGATAGTTCATTTGTGCCTTACGAAGTCATTCTGAGAAAACAGACCCACAGGAGAAGCACTGCTCCAAAGCTTCAGGTCTGGAAGGTGTTCGGGCTGAACTTGGCCCGTCCCCAGTGTTGAAGCCCAAACCCCCAAAGTGAGTGTATCTGGATGTCCCGAACCCCCAAAGTGAGTGTACAAGGGTGGGGCCCTAATCCAATAGGACATTAATGAGGTCCTAAGAGTGTCCAGGAGAGACACCAAGGACCCAAGACCCAAAGGAGAGGCCCCATGAGGACACAGGGTGCAGGTGGCTGCCTGAGGCCCAGGAAGGATCTCATCAGAAACCAAAGCTGCTGACACCCTGATCTTGGACTTCCAGCTTCCAGGACTGTGGGAGGTAAGTGTGCGCAGTGAAAGCTCAGGGTCTGTGGTATGTTGTTGTAAGCCAGAGCTGACTTCTGCAGAAGGTGAAAGAGACAAAGGTGTCCACAGTTCCCACGGGAGTTTATCCCTGTCTGGACCCCAGACACTGCATACAGTGGTGGCAATGACATCCACCGGAGTGCTCTGACACCTGCTCCCAAGTCTGAATCTTGAGCGACTGGTCAGTCAGCAAGCACTGGGTGAACATCTGCTGGCGTGGTCCTGGCATGAGGGACTCCCCCAGCTCTTGGTCCGACCAAGATAAGCTATGATCCTGAACACGTGGGCCAAATTCACCAAGCACTTTTCCTCTTCTCAGAGTTCCTTCTCTATTACATCATTGTATACTTTATTTCCTTCTCATTTGCTGGGACTCACATTGCTTCTGAATTCTACAGCAGAGACACAGGTGTACATCTTAATTCAAAAATTATTTATTGAACTTTAGTAGTGATTAATGTTTTTTATAAACAAAATGTATCATCAGCTAATGAAAACCACCACTAAGGATCCAGCATTCAATTACGACCCAGACGCCTACTCATTAATAAAAGGTTCAACCGTCCCACTATGTGATGCCCATGAGCCACAAAATAACTGAATGCAGCCAAGGAACCTTTATCTACGAATGGGGTGGGCCAAAGCAAAATGGCAAATGCACCACCCCTGGTTTGCAGCAGCCCCGTTGCAGGGAGCATGATTTTAGTGCATTCTCACAGTACTGAGTCGTGGGCTTTGTCCTACAGGTAAGTCACCTATCCTTTCTGCACCCCAATTTCCTTACTTACAAAATGAGACCATCAGGACTAACAAGCATAGGTTTCCTTCAGGCCTAAGACCCTCTATGTCCCACCTCCTCCCCTGCGTTTGATCACAGCATGGCATTTGGAAAAACTGTCGGGAAGCCGCACAGCAGCAGCCCTGTAACTCCCAGGAGGCACACCTGCTCCGGGAGCCCCGGCCTGTTCTCATCAATCTCTCAAAAGGAGCAGCTGGCAGGAGAGCTTGGAACAATGTCCCGTGTCCAGTTCTATAAGGACCGTGTTACTCAGTGAGCAGGAATAAACTGCCGTGGGCGAGCATTGCTCTGTGGCCATCTCCAGGTACGGGGCAAATGAGCAAGCCTCTGTCCCCTCCCAAACCCCAAGCGTGCATGACAGGGCCAGGGCAGGCTGGCTTCTTAGAAGCCAGTGGCTGGGGATGAGAACTGGTTTTAGGGAATGCAGCCAAAGGCCAGTATGTGTTTGGAGCCTTAGAACGAGACTGGGTGACCCCTGCTTTTCCAGTGTTTGACTCCCCCAAAATATCATTCTGTCCTCCTCCCACTGGAGCCTCTGTTCAGCCTTTAGTAACATTCATTATAAATTAACCCAAAGGATCTTGGGACTTAAGAGTTTTATTATATGAGATCCGGAGACATCTCTGAGTTCATTTCGGCAATGCTGAATGGGAGGTGTGGGACCCTGCTCCTTCCCTGCCATTCCCAGTGTCCTGGAAGAACACAGAAGCCCACCTGGCAGGTAAGCATTCACCGTACACGGCAAAGGCGAGCCCTCGGTTAGGCCTTTCTTACTCAGGAGCTGCTGTTTCCCAGTGAAGCCCTCCCCTGGAAAAAGGTGCAGTGATGGAGAAACAAGCTCTTCCGGAACCAGGTGACCTGCTGGGCCAACACACCTGCGGGCCCTACCTGAGAGGCCCTGTGCACAGAATGAGGGGAGGTCTGTGTGATCAGTGAGGGCACAGCTGGCCTCCATCAGAAGGCAGAGTGGCAAGGGGACTCTGTGTGTGTGTGTGTGTTGTGTGTGTGTAGAAACACACTGAGAGATAATAAAATACAAAGAAAGTCACACTCTGCACAGCGTTTCCAGTACATTCAGATTCCTGGTTCCAGCACCCATGTTGACAAACGTCACAAGTGACTGTGGCTCACAGAGCACTGGCCACATGGCCAAGCCCTTGTCACATCCCAGCTGGCTGGAACGTGGCTGGCAGAGCTAACTTCCAGGTCACTCCCCCTTGCATTAGAGAGAACTGAGGGGAGACGCAGGAAACTCAGAACTGTGGGTCAGAGGGAGAGAACAGGACTCAGGCACAGGAGGTGGAGGTGTCTGGGAGTGGCTACTATGGATGGAGAAGGTCATCAGAAAGAAAGAAGGGCAGGGCTCAGGGGAAGCGGTTGCCCAAGGCCAGACATCCTCGAATGGGACTGGGGATGGAAGAGGCAAGAGCTGAAGGTAGGAGAGTGGGGACAGCTCTGAGTCCTGCACCCTGTGTCCTGGGAGAGAGGCAAAGCCAACTGGCAGAAAAGAAAGTGATGGTGGCTTCTGAGTCCTCCATGGCTCTCTTCAGTGAGGGTGCTGAGGAAGGCGTCTAAACATGAGAAGCCGATTATGACAAGGATGTGGCCCCCGTATCAAGAAGGGCAATGAAAGCATCATTACACTATCCCAGAGTAAGGACTGAAAGAGTCATCTGGGTTACTGTTACTGTGATCAATTTTACTGTGCTCTCCTGCCATCCATTGAGCTGTAGAATCAATCAATCCACTGAAACTCATGACAGTACACACAGTTCCTCTTCTTCTTTTCCAAGGCCTACCAATGAAAATTCATCCTGTTTTAAATCATCCCATCCCCTCCGTATGTCAGGCTAAAAACACATGTATCTGCTACAGCAAATCCTTAAAAATCCTTCCATAGCAATTCCTATGGAAGACTAGTCAAAAGGTTCAAAAAGAAAAAAGCAAATGAAACAAAAACCAAATACCTTAGAGTGCAGTTTAGGTCTCTGGGCTCATGCATTTCTTTTTTCATTATTTGTACTTACTGTATTTGGTTTTGGTATGAATGGAGCAGTTCTCTGGGCAGTTTTCAGATATCAGCACAGGACTAAACAAATTTGGACAGCACTCTAGCTTGGCACAGACTCGGCGGCAGAAATTTGCGACTTGGTCAGATGTCCGTACGATTTTGACCACAGCCCTGTATGTTTTGCCTCTGTATCTAGAAAATAGGTGGGGAAGAAAAGCGAGGGCAAGACCAGATTATGATTCAGGCCTATTCTGTACCACACATTCCGAAGGCAGCAACTTCATTTTCCAATGACAAAGCATATCGCGTGCAGTTTCCCATGTTGCTTCTGTTATTTCTCACAGAGATATTTATAAGAAGTGCTCACTAGTGTGCAACAAATGTGTCGTAACAGTGCTAAACCAGAATCCACTTCCATAAACACCCCCACATGTAGCACACCTTCATTTTGCTATATACAACTTCATACCAAAGATGAGCGGTGCGGGATACATACCTGATGGGCATGGCTCTCGAAATGAGGTTAGTGAAATCGAATGGGTATTTTCCTGTTGCTATCATATTTCATTTTTGAAAAATGTGAGTGCATATGGGATCAGGATTCTGCCTTGAAAACCATGCAAATTCAGAACACTGAAAGGATATCTTTGTCAAGACTGTGTATCATATTGTTGAAATGGGGACGATTTCCATTATTCATAAATGGCATCTGTGCAGAATGGTGATAGGTAAGCAAGGTCACATTTAAATGGACAGAAACACAATGGATTTTATAAGGGGAAAAAAAGAAAGAAAAAAGCTACCATTAAAAATGCAGAGTGACTGTATGATTGGGACCTGGAAACCGAGTGAAGACCCCCAGCCTTGCAGACACTGGCAGCAAGTGGCTTCAGTGTAAACAGAATCGTAAGGGGTCTCCGGTGGATGAGTGGCAGTTAAAGGAAAAGGCTGCTGTATCTCTCAAGTGTAAAGGGAGCAACGTGAAATGGTAATGCCGCTTGCCATACTCTGCCCATGAGGGTAACTGGCCACTCCTCTCCTCTAGGTTGGGATGGTGAAAGATTGCTCCAGGAACTAAAACTTGCTTCCACCTGCTCTCCAGTCCCCCCAGCAACCCCCTCCATGGCTTCGGTTGCTTTCTCCGAAGCAGTAAATCGAATCCTTTCTGAACATGCACACCTTCACCGCAATTCCCCACAGACTCAAATCTTGATTGAGTGATAGATAGTGGATGAAATCATACTGCAAGGAGAATGCACGCTGGAATCAACAGTACTTCATATGCATCTCTATTTCTTATTAGACTGAGGTCTTTGGAAAGCTACAGTCTATTTGTGTATTAGGAAAAAATAAAAGGCATTTCTCCAGTTAAATCTCCCCCCGCCCCCCGCAAAAAGCGGTAAATCTAACTGAGGGGCCTCACATAGGAGACCTTCATTCTTATTATATGGATTGAACCATGTCCCTCCTAAATTCATAGGTTGAAGCCATAACCCCCGATAGGACTGTAATTGAAGATGGGGCTTTCAATGAGGTAATTAAATTAAACGAGGTTATAAGGGTGGGGACCTAATCCCATAGGAGTGGCGGCCTTGTAAGAAGATGAAAAGTTTGAGTGTGGAGGTTCATCCTTGTCATCTCAGCTCTTTGGGAGGCCGAGGCAGGAGGACTGCTAGAGCCCAGAGGTTTAAGACCAGACTGAGCAGCATAGCGAGACCCCCATCTCTACAAAAAATTTAAAAACTATGGGCACGGTGGGGCACTACTGGGGAGGCTGAGAAGGCTGAGGCAGGAGGATTCCTTGAGCACAGGCGGTCAAGGCTGCAATAAGCTATGATTGTACCACTGTACTCCAGCCTGGGCGACACAGTGGGGCTCTGTCTCTTAAAAAAAAAAAGAAGAAGAAGAAGAAGAAGTTGAAAAGCCACCAGGGGTGTACATGCACAGAGACTAGACCATGTGAGGGCAGAGGGAGAAGGTGGCCATCCACAAGCCAAAAAGAGAAGCTTAAGGAGAAACCAACCCTGGCACCTTCATCTTGGACTTTAGGCCTCCAGAGCACTGAGAGAATAAACATCGTTGCAAAAGCCATGTGGCCTGTGGCTCTTTGCTGCACAGCCTGGGCTGACTGAGACAAGGCTCATTCCTCCGGTGGTGGGGGGTGACAAGAATGGGGACCCCCGGACTGCCTGCCTGCACCTCCCCACCACCCACACAGCAGCTTCTCCTGACCATGGCTGCTGCCTGCTTGTACCTTTCCTTCTCGGTTCACATCTTCTAAGGTTTCTCTGAGGTCCTCCTTAAGCACTTGTCTCTGATCTTAGAGGAAACACCAATCTAGATGAAGGGTATGGAAGTTTTCCCCAAAACCTTTTCAACGCACTAGGAAAACGAGAGTTCTGGAAATCCAAACGCCTTTTATAGTTATCCACAAGGAACTGATTTTATATATGGGAATCCAAAAACGTCAACAAACATTGCTTGAAGAGATGGCACTGTCTTGCCATCATATATAAATATCAAGTGCAATACTGCTTTCCTTAAACGTAACTATTTAGTGAAGAATAAAAATTAAGCTCCTCGCATCCCTCCCCACACCCACCCACACAACAAAGAATTTAGAGTGAGACATGCTTCTGGAACCTAGATATTGTCACTTGTTGCTCATCACTTTTAAGAAAAAAACTTTCTCCTGCCCCAAGAAAAACCGCAGGTAATGAATTCACCAGTGTAAAACTGGCAACCAGAGCTACAAAAAGCAGATTCGATGGGTTCTTGTTTTAAAATTAGGCACTACAGCCCTTATCCAAATATTTATGGGAATATGATATACATAATGCCTGGCTGAAAACACAAGCACTTGTAGGTTTCAATCACCTTTTGACAGATTTTTAACCCTATCATGGGGACAAAGTAATGGTCAGCTTCTCAACTGGCAACAGATCATAGGTTTTTATTTCGTTCACATATCACCAAACTACTGAAATATGAAATTCCAGCTTTTTAGGAATGTCTTTCTAAAGACTGGAAAAATACTTTTCCACTAATAAATCTTTTTTTTTTAAAGTATCAACGGCAAAAAAAATTAAGGATTAAATTCCAACTTGTACTTTTTATCTGCATACTCTACTAAATTTACTTCATATTTATTCAGGGTCTTTCATATCCCAGCCCCTGGGTGTTTGTTTTTCTTCAGTTTCTCTGATGGGTCGAGCTTGACTTTCCATGTAGTGAGAACTAGAAAGTAATCTTCTGTAGATAAGATCATGCTTTAAATCCTACAGCCTTGAATGGCTGTTGGTTTTTCTAGGCCCTCCATTGACCCTATGTGTAGAGACTTCCCTCTCCGTGCCTTTGAAGAGGGACTCCAGGACCCACGTTGGGGCGGTTCTTGCTTATTGCTTTTGTTGCATTTTCGAAAAAAAAAAAAAAAAAAAAAAAAACAAAAGAAACAGCACAACTGGGAACACCGTATGTTCCTCGTGTTGTGGGAAATGGAGAGTAAAAATGGGAAATGTAGAATAAAAGTGCTTCACGGCTACATTTTCCCTTGCAGTTTTATCCACTACGAGTTTGGTGGCCCCACAACTTTGTTGGAAAGAGCTCACTATCGAGATTCTTAGAGTCCCTAGAAAAATAAAATAATGAGACATAAGAACGCAGGAGAAATGTGCAAGCCAGGTCAGAGGACAAACTGCAGAACAAGGCTCAAAGATGAGACTGCTCATCAAACCTCCAGGTGACGAAGCACACACACGCGCTGCCACATCGGAGCGACGGATGAAGGGAGCGGTTATCTGGGGGAAACAGAACCAGGCTGGCTTAATTTTCTCTTCCTAGTTTGGGATGATTTCACGGAAACAAGTGTTTCAGTAAAAACTTTCACAATAGGGAAAAGCCCATCTAAAGGTATGAAGATTTAAGTTATAGCATCATTTAAAAACAGCGGGCTCCTTTTCTCTTCCCTGCCCTTCCTGAACAATTCTGTTTAGAAGCCATGGCAGTGAGGGGTAGAGGGGACTGAGTAAGGATAGGGCACGGGCTGGGGAAGCTGGCGGATGGCGTGCTGCCTGGACCCCTTCACTGGGGGGCTTGTTGCCCCACCTGCTGGGAGAAAGCCTTCAGTTGTGGCCCTTTTATTTAGGTTTGCTTTTTTTTGCTTTTTTTGAGACAGGGTCTCACTTAGTCATCCAGGCCAGAGTGCAATGGTGCAAGAGCTCAGCTCACTGCAACCTCTGCATCCTGGGTTCTAGCGATTCTCATGCCTCAGCCTCCTGAGTCACTGGGAATACAGGTGCCCACCACCACGCCTATAGTGGTAATTTTTTTTTTTTTTTGTATTTTTAGTAGAGATGGGGTTTTGCTATGTTGGCCAGGCTGGTCTTGAACTCCTGACCTCAAGTGATCTGCCCGCCTTGGCCTCCCAAAGTGCTGGGATTACAGGCGTGAGTCACTGTGCCCAGCCCCCTTTAGGGTTTTGCAAAAAGCTGCCTTGGCCCTGCCCTTCCCAGAAGGGCCCCATCCAGGGACTGACTGTGGAGGAGGTAAAAAGGTCACTGGGGCCCAACTCCGGACAGCCATGAAGAGCCTTTAACCCCAGAGCTGCTGCGGGTGCCTGCCTGGCCTCACTGTGGGATGATCTCTGTCTTCTCAATCCCACTGCCTTCCCCTCCCTTCCAAAGGCATTGGTCCCAAGGGCCCTCCTTGATGAAACCCATCTGGGAGGAACCCACCAGGGAAAAGGATGGAAGTGCGGGAGGGACGCAGGGGGGAGGCCGTCGCATGTGGGGACAGCTGTTGGGAGGGTGAGGATACTGGAGAGACGCTGGGGCCTGACGAAATAAATACATACTCCAAAGGTGGAGAGCACAGGCCAGGCTTCCACTGTCACAGCCGGAGTTGCAAGTATAGGGAAGGAAAAGGCTAGGATGAACCCTGGCATGCTGGACTGGAATTGGAGCCTACGTTCCACCACAAGCGCACAGAAAAGGGTGAACACAGCAGGCCTGAGCCACTCCCGTTAGAAAAGCCTGCTTACAGGCAGATCACGAGGTCAAGAGATTGGGACCATCCTGGCCAACATGGTGAAACCCCATCTCTCCTAAAAATACAAAAAACAGCTGGGCATGGTGGTGCACGCCTGTAGTCTCAGCTACTCAGGAGGCTGAGGCAGGAGAATCGCTGGAACCCAGGAGGCGGGGGTTGCAGTTAGCCGAGATTGTGCCACTGCATTCCAGCCTGGGTGACAAAGTGAGACTCCATTTCAAAAAAAAAAAAAAAAAAGTACAGGTACATCCCTAATCAGAAAATCTGAAATTCAAAATACTCCAAATTCTGAAATTTTTGAGTGTCAACATAATATAAGTATACTGCAAGTATTCCAAAAGCTGAAAAAAGATGAAATCCAAAACACTTCTGGTCCCAAGCAATTGGAATAAAGGATATTCAACATGTATTTGGGGGTGACGGGGCATCAGGCCTTCAACTTATCCCAAATCAATCAGGAGAATGAATAGTATCTTTATTCTGTACCTCCAATATTTCTGTAAGTATGAGATTGTTTCAAAAGCACTTAGAAATAATATAAAGGCATGTAGTCATATAATGACTCAAACTATACCAAGCTGACTCTACAGCAGACTTTCCATCACATGAGCATTTCTGAGCACTATTGGTTGAGTACACATGGACACATCCAGATGCTATCAATACATTAAGGATAAATTGATTGTGAAATCCAACTCCAACCTGAACCAATAAACAGGCTTGTTTTGGAGTTGGCCTACAAATTAGGGTAACTGTTGGAACAACTCTTTCAAAGGCATGCTGAACATACGAAGATACAGCCCTATTAAAAAAAAAGGAGAGGCAAAAGACAGCTCTAAGAGTTTACCAACTGGCTGGGAATTAACAGTAAATCTGCATTTATGTAATGAAGCTACTGACATATTCTCAAGGATCTTACAGCATTTGATCACTTGATCCTTACATGATCTTCCCAGGCACAGTGGACAGGGGTTTGAGCTCCACGTGACAGACCTGGGGATGGCTGGGTAGGGGGATGACCTGTTCTTTCTTTCCTTTTTTTTTGAGACAGGCTCTCACCCAGGCTGGAGTGCACTGGCACCATCTTGGCTCACTGCAACCTCCATCTCCCAGGTTCAAGCGATTCTCCTGCCTCAGCCTCCAGAGTAGCTGGGACTACAGGCACCCACTACCATGCCCGGCTAATTTTTGTATTTTTAGTAGAGATGGTGTTTCACCATGTTGGCCAGGCTGGTCTCAAACTTCTGACCTCAGGTGATCCTCCCGCCTCAGCCTCCCAGAGTGTTGGTATTACAGGCACAGGCCAACGCACTCAGCCTCATTCTACTCTTTATTTTACCAAAAGTGAAAAGAAGAGTGTGTTTTGTATTTTTACCTTCCAAGAAAGACTTACAAACAGCATACCAATGACATAACTTTGTAGGGAGGATGTGTGAAAAGAACAACCCAAATGTCCAACAATGATAGACTGGATTAAGAAAATGTGGCACATATACACCATGGACTACTATGCAGCCATAAAAAATGATGAGTTCATGTCCTTGGTAGGGACATGGATGAAGCTGGAAACCATCATTCTCAGCAAACTATGGCAAGGACAAAAAACCAAACACCTCATGTTCTCACTCATAGGTGGGAATTGAACAATGAGAACACATGGACACAGGTAGGGGAACATCACACACTGGGGCCTGTTGTGGGGTGGGGGAGGGGGGAGGGATAGCATTAGGAGATATACCTAATGTTAAATGATGAGTTAATGGGTGCAGCACACCAACATGGCACATGTATACATATGTAACTAACCTGCACATTGTGCACATGTACCCTAGAACTTAAAGTATAATAAAAAAAAAAGTTAAAAAAAAAGAACCACCAAAAAGCATGAGATAATGCTTTTCACTTTCTACTGACACTGTGAGACCAAAGGGTGAGACGCCGATGTTATTTAATACACGGCCCGGCAAGGCTCTCATAAACACTAAGTTTTTGAAGCAATATTTCAAGTCCCAAGAAGACAAAGTAAGAGGAAAATATTAAGAGACAGCTGAGCTCGCACACAATAGAAAACTCTCTGGCAATATAAATAATCTCAGAAAGAAGGAAAATAGAAGCAACAAGCAAAAGATTACTGAGTTGGAACTAAGGAATAGCAAAGACAAAAAAGGTGACGGAGGAGAAAGTTGTAAGGGAGAGGTCCAGGAAGGAGAGCTTTCATCTCAGTCCTCAGATAGACCTTGCCATCCCAGCACCTCTGCATCACTCAGGTTGCAGAGAAATCTGGAGGGAAGAACGCAATCTCATCCTACAAGCTGAGCACATCAGGAGGGGCTGGGGCTGGCAGTGCTCTCGGAAGCACACTTTGAGACAGTAAAGGAAGTCACAGATCAACAGTGGAAAACACAGGAGATGCTCTTGCTGGTTGTCAGCGCAGGACACTGAGAACCCCAGAGTCCACAGAAGATTATTTTAAGCTCAAGATAGTTGAGATTCGACAGATACAGCAAGAAGTCTTGTTGGAGCTCCCATTATCTGCTGTAAAATAGAAACTTTAGAGAAATGGAGACTGCCATAAATTCCCTCTTTGGGGGCAGCTTCTCCTCCCAGGAGAGAGACGTAAGAGTAAAGCTGCCATAAATCTCCTCTCTGGGGACGTTTCCCAGCCTGGCCATGAAGAAGAGAGAAAGACCACTCAGACCTGCATAAACAAACATTAGCACAAACTTTCTTACTTCTCACTTGCTTTCCTCAAATCCAATTTGTCTTTCCCAAAGCAATCTATTTGTTCTTCTGACGAAAGCCTTTGCTCCCAGCTCCCTTTCCCGTACTGAGTTGGATACAGAATCCCCAAACGACTGACCCACCCTCTGAGTTATTCATCACTGAGCACTCCCTCGGTATGAGGGTTACACATGTAAGTGGGCTGTTTCTTCTCTCACTCACCTGTCTTTGGTCAGTTTAACCTTCAGGCTCCCAGTCTCTGAACCTAAAGGAGTGGAGGCAAAGTTTTTCCTCACTGATATCAATATATGTGTGGCCTTCCACTTCCTTCCCATTAGCCAAAGTAGGGATTTCTTTCCACGTCCAAGTGCATAGAGCAGGGTGGAGACAGAGAGAGGAATATGGGATGATAAAATGCCAAAAAAATCATCTCCTCTCCTTCAATAGCTGGTATGTTTTGGCTGTGTCCCCACCCAAATCTCATCTTGAATTGTAGCTCCCATAATTCTCAAGTGTTGTGGGAGGGACCCAGTGGGAGGTAACTGAATCATGGGGCAGTTTCCCCCATACTTTTCCTGTGGTAGTGAATAAGTCTCACAAGATCTGATGGTTTCATAAGGGGAAACCCCTTTTGCTTGATTCTCATTCTCTTCTCTTGTCTGCCACCATGTGAGATGTGCCTTTCACCTTCCGCTGTGATTATGAGGCCTCCCCAGCCACGTGGAACTGTGAGTCCATTTAACCTTTTTTTCCTTATAAATTACCCAGTTGCAGGTATGTCTTTATCAGCGGCATGAAAATGGACTAATACGGTAGTTAAAAGTTGAGAAGAATCTAAATGGATTTTGAGTCAAAAACAAAAACAGAGTGAAAAAGCCAACACTGGTGTAACAATCCGTTTATAACCACCGGCACGGCCCAAGCAGAATGTCACTATGGTCTAAGTTCCATCATTCACCCTCAGAATCACCCTTATGAGACCTTTTAACAAATCTCGTCAGGCAGGGATAGGGGTGTGGGAGCGGAGGACGAGGTTCTGGTTCTTCAAGCTGAACTCACACCCTCAAATGCTGGAGGAAGAATTAAAAGAGGAAGGAAATGGTGACTCTGAGAACCCTGCAGAAATAGGGAAGCTTTACAAGCTGTGGGAAAGCCTCTGTTCTCATCAGCAATAGTGAGGTACGGTTCTCGCTTCCTTCAGAACAAAGCTTTCACTTCATTGGTCTCATTCTTGGTCACTGGACTTCAGGGTCGGGAGAATGGGTCACTGGTTTTCAGCCTTAGGACACCCAAACTCCTCAGAAATTTCTTTCTTCCTTCTTGCCTTTAAGTAATGGGAACTCTGCAACACATGGGCATGTATGTTTATCCCAAGGAGACTACTGCTCCTCCAGAATGTCTTAAGCTGGCCTGTTTGAATCAGACACGCCACACCGTGATCCAGTGAATTTAGGTACACACATACACAGAAATGCAGTCTTCCCTTCAAATAGACTGGTTCATGGCTTTGCTTAACGCGAAGTTCACCTCGTGCGTTTTCAGGACAGCAAACTACATACACTTGCGCAAGGTAAACAAAATTAACAAATGAACAAACAAAACCTTTTCCGGTGAAGTCTCTCAGTTAGGGAATCCTTTTTTTACATAAATCACTTTATAGCCAAATGTTACCTGCGACAGTTCATAAGACAAATGCTTGCGTAAAAGGACAAAAATTAAAGTCAAATAAGTAAAAGCACACACAAAATTAACCACTGCTTATGAAAAAAAAGAAACCACAACATTTCCACAGAGCTGAGCATGACGCACCTAACAGTGAAGATCTGACTTTATCTCCTTCCCTCTGATAAGTGACAGTGAGCTCTAACTCACGTGAAATCCTACCAGGATATTTCCTCTTTAAATATTCTGAATAACTATAACACAGGACTAGAAGAATTATTAAGCTTCTGCCTGGCTTTTATAAAGATGATCACAAAAGCCATTCAAAGAAGAGTTAAGACAGTCTTTTTATTTTCCCTCAAGAAGATTCTGTAACATGCTGAAAAACATATTTAAATGTCTCTAGATGCAGAGAGGTGGAGGGCTTTTTTTTTCCTTACCCCTCTAAGATATAGCCTAATTCCTCCTCCTGTAATTCAAAACAATGCAGGTAAATTGAGCATATTTAAATTCATTGGCAAGAAAGAAATTTTCTCTTCCAGAACAGAAATGAACTACATGAGAAGCCATTTTTTTTCCCTGGCATAAAAGCTAGCAAATTTTTGCTTTTCAATACATGTTGAAGGTAATAATGATAGACTCCTCACAAGTTCAAATATTGCAATAATTTCTTTCTATAAAAGGTACGGTTGTTGGATAAATAGGGGAAAAATCACCCAGAGACAATTGTAGGTAACAGTGTAAGTTTTCGTTATATTTACAAGTCAAAACCTCTACAAAGACACCTTCATCCTCTCAAGTAAATGGGTCTTTACTCTTAGGAGGTGGAAAAAACAACCAGAAATCCTAGATGCCAAATGAGAGCAATCACACTGCCCTAGGGATAATCTCACATCCTCTCTTCCTGAAAACAGTCTTTATAATTGTGTACAACAGCTCCCATAATCAACCAAGAGGACTGAATGTCATATGTATATATGACATATATATACATACATATACACATACATACATACTATATATACACACACACACACACACACACACACACACACACATATATATATATATAAAAATATTTTATTTGTTGTAGAGACAGGGTCTTACTATGTTGTCCAGGCTGGTCTTGAATTCCTGGACTCAAGCGATTTGCTGCTTCAGCTTCCCAAAGTGCAGGGATTACAGTCATGAGCCACCACGCCTGGCCTGGACCAAATGTCTTGAATGTGAGTCTCTCCTCTTGTACGTTAATTTATTCATGACAGAAAACATGCCTTCCTTTCAGCTAAATGGGAAGATGCCAGCTCTCTCTCCTCCCATTTGCACCAAAGAAAATAGCAAAGTTGTCAAGATCTAAAAAGTTGTCATTTCACATCAGAAGGGAAGAGGTGACTCAACACACAGTATCAGAGCAGGAGAGCTCCCGCTGACTGTAAAGCTGTCATCATTAGCAGCTGCTTTGAGACGCTGCTATGATCTCGCACAGTTGAAACCCAGTTCAGACAGACATTTTCTCATTAGAAGTTGCTGTGTAAGAGTTTGCCATGGAACTTTTTGTCATATTTGATATAATAGGTAATATGCTGCCTTTACAATTCAGTAGAGCTGGGTTTCACCATGTCTGTTTTGATTGTATCAGGCTGGATTTAATAAAAAGCTCTGATCGACTTGGTAACATGAAAACTAGTGCAAACACTTGCAAAATGAACTTCCTCTCACTGTGGAGCGGGAGCGAGTTTCTGGCTTATTTAGAGGCAGGGAAGGTTTTAATGGGAGCTAAGATTTTTGTACTTTTATTATATCTGTGTCCATTAGGTGTACGTGGACTGTATTGAATTTTGCAGAAAAGTTTTAAAATAAGAAGGATTTCTCCATTATAAACACTTGCTTATGTTTTCTGCCCCCACTACTACTACAAACTTATAAGAAAATGTGCCACTACTGCTAATGATCTCTTTAAAGCAGAAAAATATGAAATATTAGAAAAACATGTTTTTCTCTGAGCTATAGGTGAAGCTCACTTAAATATTTCTTGAGAAAGAAGGAAATGATGAAATGTAGCAGCATCGTTAATTGGCCTGCCATTTTCTGCAAATAAACCCTCTTCTTATTTACATATATTCTCTTCCACTTTGGTGATTTGGCAGATTATGATTAGACCATAAATAAGTTTTACTGAATCTAAAACCCCAGAGCTGTTCAAAAATGACACCAGGAATGCTAAGTGGATTGCTGGCAATGAATGTTGAGTGTGGCACAATCTCTAAACATCTTCAGTCACAGTACTAGTATAAGTTAACTATAGAGGAAAATATTACCGATCATACAAATTATTTCATATTTCTCAATTTTCACTATGAATAGGGCAGGTGCCTTCTCTAAAGGAGGCTTAGATATCCTCTAGCCACTGAAAACTGTTTTACTCTTTTAAAAAAACATCATTTCTCAAATGTTACATCTCAATGACCATTAAGAAGTCAACTAGTAAAACCTATTCTATTTGAAACCCATAGATGAATATTAAAAGTCCTCTCAAGCACTCTAAACAATTATTCAACATAAAATTATCTTAGAAACGGATCTTTTTCTATGTGCCTAAACAACCAAGTTCAAGTACATTGATACGGCTCCTGCTCTCAATTTCAGAGGTCAAGAAACCTAAAGAAAGCAAAAATGTCACCTTTCCAATTAGCCTATTTCCAAATAAAAGAAAGTTACTTGACTCCACGCCAACCCAGATTTTGCTGCCATTTACTTAACCCAGACCAAACATGCACGGGTTCCTTTTATCTTTGAGAACTGTCAACTGCCAGAAAAGAGAGCATTTGCATTTAGCATAGTCTATATAATATCAAAAATGAAGAGCTGTTTATGAACATAGTATAATAATGATGAGGGATATCCTCTTTACAATTTTCCCCCTTTTGCTCAAATAACCTATTGGTCCTGAAACATACCAAGTTTTTATGATGCTGAATGTTTAGCATAATAAAATATTAGTTAAGGAAATCTCTACTTCACCTTAGGAATCCTAAGGCTTAAGGCAACGCTGTATGGCAAAAATGCCAAGAAATTTACGTGTCGCCCATAGAACTGCAGAACGAACGTCCTTCAGTTTGTTCCATTTCTCAGGGCTGTGTCACAAAGAGAAGTGGCAAGGTTCAAAGTAGCATGGGGAAGTATTACAAAAACCCTTGCTTTCCAGAATTGAAAACACTTACTTGGCCTTCAGCGTCTCTTCCTGGAAATTCCAGTGGGGATCTTCTACCAGCTGTAATTCTCTTAATACCCTTCCAGGCTTGTAGGCTGCGTTGATTATCATGCTAAGAACCTTTTGGGGAAAAAAATAAGCAGACTGAGCTGCAATTGCATTCATTCCTACTAACACAAGGATGCTTTGAAAACCACACCACTGACATTTAGGAACAGCTCGCCACTACACCCACATGAAGTGAAGAAACGTGATTAAGTCTGATAGAACACTTGCCAGGCTAACACTGAGTTGTTTCACCATCCATGGACAAAAAGCGTGGTAAAATACAATCTCTCTGGCTAGAAAAGTGTGAACCACTCTCTAGAGGGGGTGGCAGACTCCCATTAACTCTTCTAGTTGCAGAAAAGCTGAACCATTTTCACCAAAGAGCAATTTATTGTACTTCAACAGGATTACTCTTCAGTTGGATAGGCTACTGAGAATTTCATTCTATTTTTACAGATTTCATAAGGAACTAATGAAACGGAGACAATCTACTCATGCCAACACTTCTGGAGAGGCTTCACATGCTTGCAAGGAGGGTAACAAATTGTGTGAAACTCTCCTCTTGCAGGCTCAATTCATGGACATTTAATACTAGGGCAACCCTCTGAAATGTGAATATTTTAAAAGAGAGTCTGGAATATCCAGCGCCATCCAGTATCATATTTCCCCCATCCACCCCTCACTCCCAAGTCCAAGAAAACAAGCATGTGTCTACCATGGGGCTCAGAAAGAGCAGGCATTTCTAAGAGTTCCAGCTGCTGACCCTGGGGAGATACGATGTTCCTGTTAACCTCAATGAGTTTCTCTAATGAAAGGGACAAGGACCTCAGACCCCTAAGGTGCTCACCTTTCAAAAAGCAAATCATCATTAATGATTAACATTGATGAGTTCTGGCACATTCCTGGGCTGCTGCTGTTTGGATAAAGACCTTACAGAACGTGAGAGTGCAAAGCAGAGGCCTATGGTGTGGAGTTTCATGAAATGATCCTCTGTGAAGCTCCACTGAGTGACAGTAGCAGGAACAAGACGGGGGAGCACGCAGTGCCCATGCCTCCTGCAGGCCGTCCGGGTGCGGAAGTTGGAAGGAGCACGCCAGGCATGGAGCTCACATTTTGGATTTCAGAGCAAAATACCGTTGGGAGAGCAAGAGATACACCTGAGTGAGATGGGAGTCTGGCACTAGTGCCTAAACACGCACTATCTTTTAATGGAGACTATTACAAAATAAATGGAAGGAGATGGGAGAATGTGGATGGAATTTGCTTGTCACAATTTTCACGGGTCTGTTGTGTTCTGGAACGTAACCAGCTTGGTTTGCACCCTGATTTATTTGAAAACAACAAAGCTTTCTCAAGTTGTAACTAAGGATTCACTCTTAAAATACTTTACACTACGCGGTCAGCCCGGCGACGGCCTTTTCTCTGCCTGGGTAACATCTTGCTATGTTCCAAGGGCCTCAAAGCCACCCACCAAGAGAATGTGGCTTGCCAAGGTGCTAAAAAGCCATGACAAGGCGGTACCGGCAGTTTTGTTGCGTTTGTGTTTTCTGTATTAGAATAATCATCTGATTTTATTGTTTACTGTCAGTACAATTTACAGAAACTCAGTTTAAAAATAAATCTAATTAGTACTGACTGCAATAACGCACACAGTGTTTATCAACAGACAATAAAATTTCAACAGATTCTTTTCATTGGGTTTCGCTGAGAAAACCCCAGAGCTGCATGTTATTTGCTGCATATCGAGATGCATTTTGTGACTGCGAAAAGAAAATGCCTTCTGGAGTTCAATTCAGCCTGGGAGCAGGCAGCAATTAAATTATGAAAAGCATCGGATATTGAATGTTTTTCCCTTGGCTTTTCTTGATGCCACATCATCCGTCTCCAAATTCAACAAGCTCTCTATAAAACTTTGGAATTGTGAGCTGAATAATTTCTGTGCACATGACAATGTCATGTATTATAGTTACCTAATGAAAATAACTAAGTGGACAGCTGCTATGACTAGCCACAGTTAGACTGAATTATTGTGCTTTGCAAAACACTGGAGTTCAGTTCATTATGTGCTTGATCAGAGAGGGTAGCAGGGAGCCTGCCCCTGCCCCCAAACTAATAGGACCTTAGGTGTCTCATCTTCCTCCACTGATATGGTTTGGCTGTGACCCCACCCAAATCTCACCTTGAATTGTAGCTCCCATAATTCCCATGTGTTGTGGGAGGAACCTTGTGGGAGGTAATTGAATTGTAGGGGTGGTTTCCCCCATAATGTTCTCGTGGTAGTGAATAAGTCTCATGAGATCTGATGGTTTTATAAGGAGTTCCCCTTTTTGCTTGGCTCCCATTCTCTCGTCTGCTGCCATGTAAGACGTGCCTTTTGCCGTCTGCCATGATTGTGAGGCCTCCCCAGCCATGTGGATCTGTGAGTCCCTTAAACCTCTTTTCCTTTATAAATTGCCCAGTCTCAGGTATGTCTTGATCACCAATGTGAAAACGAACTAACACATTCCCCCACCTCATTTCTCAGCTCTTTTACAGTAAAATCCTTAAGAAGAGTCTACACTCAACAGCGCCTTTTCCTCTTCTTCAGTCCTCTCTGGAACCCAATCCAATGGGGCTTTTCTGTGTCCACAATGTCCCTGAAACTGTCTTATCCAGATGCCTGGTGAGAGCACATGGCCGAAACGCTGGGCAGCTCTGGGTCTATTCTCACCCTGCCGGCAGGGGCTTCCCTGTCTTCCACCTCACGCTCTGAGAGCCTCACCTCCCAACAACCGCCAGGGCGATCCTTTCAACAGGTCAGATCAGGCCTTTCCTCTGCTCTGTTCTTCTCTTAGGATTGTTCTTCCTGGGGAAACCCTTCCAGACCATCCCTCCCCATCCGGGTCTTTACTCCAAAGTCCGTATCAGAAAGGTCTCTGCGAGTATCCTCTGTACACAGCACATTCCTCCCTTCATTCTCTGGCCTCTCATGGATAACTTGTCTTATTATTAGTATAGGATTATTCCGTAATTGGCTTATTTGTTCACCATCCACCCCCACTAAGACATAAGCAGCAGGAAATCAGGGACTTCATTCTGTTTGCTGCTGTATCCATGGCAGATACAACCATAACTGGCAAGAGTAGGTGCTCTATAGATATTTTTTGAATTAGTTCAATAATTTCAATATGGGCTCTGAAATTAAATTATTCTGTTCATCTAAAAATTAACAATAAATTCACTCCAAGTATTTGATGCCATATAATCTACATGAATGGAGGCTCAGGAGTTATCATTTGCTATTGCTTTTCATTGCTACAAAATCTTATCCTATGCTATGATAAGAAAGTTCATCAAATTTATCTTGTCTTCTCTATGAGAAAATAATAAAGAAAAGCCTGACATGCAAAAAAAAAAATGTGCACTTTTCCTTTGCCAACCTTCCCTCAGCACCCCAGACCATGTGAGTGTGTTCAAGTTCACACCCACCCGTAAGCCTGGCACATTATTCTTAGTGGGTTAACTAATGTTCAGCATAAATTGAAAACAGCAGCAACAAAAACACAGCACAGTATCTTCAAGAGGCCTGTCTGCATCTGTCTTTGATTCCGAGGACTGACTTCGCTGAGGTCAGCTGGGTAAGACATTCCCTCTGTCCAATATCACATGGAAAAGTCCTCAATACGAGATCGTCATTCCTACTCCCTCAACACCTCCTCCCCTGGGTGTTACCGATAAACTTACGACTGCTTCGAAGAATGAAAGCTCTTCTCCTACCACCAAGTCTATGAACACTGAAGGCTGCTTGGGGCAGCCGACTTTCAGGATTCCGACCAGAAAGCTTTCTAGTTTTTAGGTACATGTTGTTGTGAGTGATAGCCCAGGACAAATGCTCAGAGCTCCACAATGAAGGGGAAATTCAAACAGCACATGACAGACTCCCCAGATGTGAGAACCAGACACCCCAAACAAAAACACGGAGGGAAATCGCTTAATGCATCAGCCACAGGGGCAGAAATCGAAACCGTAAATAACAGCTGAGGCCAAATCCCAAACCGCCAGGTCCCACTGGAAAGATCCCAAACTGCAGGTGACCAGGAGCCAGAGTCACCTGAGCCCTTTGGGGGTCGGAGGTCACATCACTATTTGCAGTGGGGCGTCTCTGACTCAGGGCCGGGGGTCCGGGGCACACCGCATTCTGGTTCAGGGGTGCCGCACTACTTCTTTGATTCTGCTGGTCTACGCCTTCACACCCAGTCTTTGGACCTCAGCTGAGTGCCCTGGTCTCACCAGCATCTCAGCAAACGGGGTGGAGAGTTACACTGGAGCAAAAAAACAAGCCCTGAGAAGCGCCTCATTGCAAAGCATCCTGGGTGCCAGGCTTCCTGGGGCTTTCTCTGAACTCTTAAGCACCAAAAGAAGAAAAAAGAGAGCAGAAAATCAGGCGTTCTATTTCTACCTTTCTATAGAAGGTTACAGCTCATCGATTTCCTTTCTATAAACGTTCCTCTCTTAAGCTCCTGAACCTGGACTGCCAAAAAGCAGCACACAGGACAGGCCAGGTCTGCTGCCGAGCAAACACAAGTGGAGAGCCCCTGCCTGCTCAGCACCCCTGAAGCTCATGCGGAAAACCCACAAAGGGGTGCCCACAGATGGCCCACATGAAAGGCATGTTTCTCTTTTTTTCTGAAAAACAGAAGTTAGATACTGTCACTGACATTTACATACTGATATTTTAAGCCAAATAAATTCTAAGAAAAACCACAAGGCTCCCCAAGTCTCTGAGAGCCACCCTGGGATTTTCTCCAAGGACAATGTCCCCCCACCATGATGTGTGGAGTCCCTGTGAAGGCAGAGGCTCCATCGCCCTACCCAGGTGCGTGTTTTCAGAGTCGTTTCTGCCAGGAGCGCTTGGCTGGTCTGCTCTCACCTTCATCATGGGTCTGTGTCTGCAGCTGAAACAGTCACTCCAGGACCCACGGACAGGAGTAAATAGATTAGATGTTCCGCTCCCCGTTGGCCTCTTGTGCCCAGGCTGGCTCACTGGTTTGCTTTCTCTTTCACACACAGACACTAGCCTGATACACTGTCTATAAAGTGAGGACTACAGGCCTGGTGATTCATGAGATGGTATGTAAGTTACAAGGCAAAAATTTCCTGAACACCTCGTGCAATGCAAAGGAACGCAACAGCCGACAAGACCCTTTTGGTCATAGGAGGCGAGCAATCTCCTGATATGACATAGATCATGGTTTATCTCTCTTTTGGGGACCCTGGTACTCCGGGAGAGGTTGGGGTAGAAGGATTTGGGATAGAAAAAGATGCTCCCAATGGACAATGACCCTACTGAGCATGGACACGTGACTTAGGATAAACAGCATCACCACTGCCTGTGCCTAACAACTCCACCCTCCATGCAACTGGGCATGGGCATCCTGTAAAAGGCCCAGCATGTGAGGGGCGGTCACCAGCTGGGCCTGTGCCTCCACGCCAAGGCCTGCTTCGTTCTGAGTTTGCTTATGGGGTACGTCTGGACCTCAGTGGACCATTGAGTGACTCTGGTTCCAGCTTCTCCCAGGTCCCCTACCTCCCCTCGCTGCACCCCCTCGAATTGAGGCCAGACACGCTCGTGGTCCTGCCAAACCCCACTCAACTCTAACACCCATCAAGTGAGTAGAGCCATGCATTAAAGACCACTTTTGCCAGAAACTTCGTCCTCTCTTATAAAGCGGCCCACTCAGACAGAACCCAGAACTGGACTCTGCAGCCTGCACTGAGCCTTGCCAAAGACCATGTCTGCATCCACACCCCGAGACGTCTATTTCTGGCAGAACAGATCAGGGTGAACCGCTCTCACTGCACATCTCCTACACATAAAGTGTTCAAGTTCCTAATAACACCGATGGCCAGGAAAAGCAATGCACTCTGTCTTTACTTCCATTACCTCGTTCTCTTTAACTAAAATGAAATTTGAAGCTACAGAGGCTCTGGTACTGAAAGAGGAGCATTAGCGTAAATATTAGCTTGGTGGCACTTACATTTTTCTTGCACTCACAGAACTGAAGCACTCACCTACTTTTTTGTTTTGTTTTGTTTTTCTTTCTTCCTGCCACATGCATTTTTCAAACATCAGCAAAAAACTAGTTTTGTCATTAGAAAACTGCTCTGGACTCGGCTTTAAATTTGGCCGCTGGCACTTATCGGAGAATTGATCAGGGATAACCACTTCTGACTTAAACAAATCATTTAGTAAAGTAAAACAGCCAGCCCCTCAAGACAGGCTGAAGCCAAGGTCATCTTGTGTGTTAACAGAGCTGGCAGATAAGGGAAGGTGTCATTTCAACAACGGAACACGTCACGTGAAACAGGCTTGCAGGCAGCTTCGAAGAAGCCCATCAGCTCTCCGTATTTTTGTCAGTTGTTGTGTCCTCATCCTATCACTCACAACAAAAACAGGCAGAAATACAGGCAGACAACATTGCCCTAGTGGAAATCCATTCACAGACTGACAGCTGTGGCAGACGGAAGAAAGTCAATTCTCACTCTAGGGTCCTATTTCCGATGGTGGCAGAAATTCTTATGTGTAATCCTGGCTTGATTTCTGTTTGGATTGAGTTTAGTATCTGCAGGGATCTCCAATCTGTGCCAATTTATTCACTTAGCATTAACTAGCGGTCCTGCTGCTTAACCACACTGCGGAGCCCTTCCCAGGGTGTGGCCCTCCCAACTCAATCACCCTTTCTCTTTAGCTGTGAATTTCTCATATATGGAATCTACTTGCCACTTAGGCTTAGTGAGATGCGTACTGTTCGATTTCAAGACCAAATGCAGAAATGAGCTATTTACAAGGAAGGCAGCTCCATTCTGCTGCTAAATGAAGATGTGTATGAAGGCCCTGGTACAATGGCCAGGCCTGCAACAGACTCTAAACACGAACAAGGGCCCTTTCTGGGTCCATCCCTTGCAGTCTGCACATTTCAGGTGCTGTGAGGATCCTCTCCTCTTCCCTCCTTCATCACCCGCACCCCAGATGCCCCAGCCTTGTTCCTGCTCCTCTCCCTACCAGGGGCAGGCCACCTGTTCCGCAGTCCCCACAGATTGCAGATGCCTCCGGTGTGATCTCACAGTGTGCATGCCAGGTCCTGTCCTGGAACCTGGGACCACGTGGCTACCTTCTATTTACATACTCATCTTTCCCATCGACTGGACGCTCATGTGGGCCAGGGACCACCTGCTTAACATTCTACATGCTCCCAAATAAATGACCACAACAATAGCCTTATCGATTTCTGACAGGTTTCTTCTAAACTGTAACCTCTACTTCCTCTCTCAAGCAGATGTTTTTTTAAATAAAAAGGTCTTTAACTACGAATACCACTGATGACCAGGAAGAGAAAATGCCCTCTGACTTCCCTTCAATGGCCTCTTTCTCCTCAAGTGAAATGATATTTGAAATCACACCGAGGCTCTCGTGTGGAGGGAAAGCTTGAGTCTCGCATCCCTCTGAGGGTGCCCTATCCATAGATTCAAGTCCAAATCACTTAAAATATCAGAGAAGGCCTTTCACAAGCAGGCCCCATCCAATTTGCTCCATCCAACCTCACACTGAAGCATCAAGGCAGGCCAGCTTCCTGTTTTTCTTCTCAAAATCTAATGCACCCTTTTATGCCACGGTTTATCTCCAGCCTAAGTTCCTAAGCTCCAGCCATACCTGACTTTCCTTTCTGAAACACACCTTGAATGCCCACCTGTGTGGCCATGCCCACGCTGTGCAATCAGGATCCTACACACTCTGCCTAAGCCAGATGAAATGTCACTTGCCATATATTTGTCCTGCACTCTACTCCCAGGACACTGTGTTCCTGCCTCTCTCTCGGACGCCCAACTGTACATCAAGCTGAGGATTACATCATCTCCCTAACAAGAGCAGGAAACCCCAACAGGCAGAAGGCAGAGCCTATTTCTTTTTTAATCCAATGCTTCCGATGGTGCCTGGCTCCTCAAAGTTACCTGACAAACATTTGTTCAATGGATCAATGGATTGCTGTGCCTGCAGAATTTTAAGAAACATTCATCATGGTACGGTGGCAATAGAGAATATCCATTTGGTATCCTCTTTCTTCAGAGAAAGTACGGATACGTGTAAGAAAAGAGCAGAGATAGAGTTCCGGGAAGAGTTTGGAAACTATTCCAAATTTCCAATCTGTCTCCAAGCACTGTCTGAGGCTATGCTAGAAAAATGCAATGGAGAAGAAGCCTTCATCAACATCCTCAGGATTCACCTGTCTCTGCAGGTCGTCGCCCGAAGGCAGCAGAAGAAATGGGGAGCCACAGCCTCCAAGTGATGGGCCTGGATGTGACCCATGACACAAACCTCGTCAAAGTACCTGGAGACCATTGAAATACTTACCATTACCTCCCGTGTGCAGGTACCAGGTGCTCGGAAGAGATGGATGAAACAAAAAGATGGCACAGCACCATGACCCGGCCAAGGAGCGCCATTCTCGGTGATTAACACCCTCTGCTGCCTCATGAAGTCCTCTGTGCCATTCCAGGCTGGTTTACCTCTTTGGAAACCTCAACTCCAGTCCTAGGCCCTCACTCCACACACAATCTTCCCTCTGTCTTCCCAAAGCACTTCATTCAAATCTAGTGCAACTTTTCCCCCTAATTCGAGGGAAGGCAGATGTGTGTCCCTCCCTCTAGATGGGGAGCCTTTCATGGGTCAGAGCATCATTTTTCCATTTGTGTATCTCTGGCTTCAGCCCACAGGATGGAGAGAACGGAGGTCTCGGTAAATGCCAGCTGAACTGCTTCCAATGCCTATTCCCTCCTTCAGAAACTGAGCCCACAGCTTTTTAAAAAATCCTGTTAAAATAAGCCAAGGTGATTGTGCACGGGCTTTACCTCTTTAAGAACCAGCACGCATTTGCCCGGTCCCACCGACTGAGGTAGCTCTGCAATCCTTCCTTTGTTCAGGTAAGGGCCTGAGAAACACCTGTGGTTGATGAAGAGCTGAGGACAGCAGTATTTCCCGTTGACGGTTCCTGCAGGGGACAGCAACATAGTCCATGCTTAGGACCACAGCCCCAGACCCTAGGGGACCCCTAGACCCTTGCTTCATCCACATGGTCAGGGAAAAGGACCACACAGAGCTGTCCGAGGTCTTGGCTGATGGGGAGTCAGGCGTAATAAAAGCAATGGAACCCAAAATGAACACAATAACCGTGACAGCCAGTGTCGTTAGAACTGTAATTAGGAGGCCACACTCTAGTTCCAAATCGTGACAAAGCAGCAGAGAAAAACAGATGATTTTCTTCTTTTGAGAAAGAGGCGCTGTGTCCTAATAGCAGGACATTTTATATCCTTAATGATACCTTGGAAATTCTGATGCATTTTTCCAGATTGTATGAATCTGGTGTTCATCATGCCACACAAGTGTGTCAACTTCACCACACACAGAAGCATGCATGTGCCTACAAACAATATATGATATATTAAACATATTCCATAAATTATTTCCTGCAAGATATTGTTTGTTTGCTTAACAAGAAGTTTCTGAGATATATCCAAGTTGGTAAATGCGGATCTAGAAAGTTCATTCATTTTTTTACTTCTTTGACTCTATTGAATTAATGTAGCATCATTTAGCTGTCTAGTCTCTTACTGCTGGATATTTAGTTGTTTCTACTTTTTCAGGACTGTCAACAGTGCTTTCATGAATATGATTGTGAAAATCTTCTACACGTGGGCAACAGAGTCTTGCAGGTGAGTAAGAAGAGTGGGCCAGGTAGGCCACAGGTCTGCGCATCTGTATCTTCAGTTTTACTAGACATGGCCACGCCATTCTCCACAGTGACTACCCCAATTGACACTCTTGTTAGCACCATGGAAGGGCTCCTGTAGTCCTACATCTACCCCAACAATGGTTCCTGTTGCACTTCTCCACTCTGCCAGTCTGAAGACGGTGAAGTAGACCTCACTGCAGCTTAAGTGTGCATTACCTGTATTCTTCTTTCAACTCAGAAAGGGAATAGTGAGAGCTGCTGATCTTGCTGTCTCCAATGCCATGGGCAAGCAGAATAATTAAATGATAAGACCTCAATCTAAAGTTTCTTTCTTACAGGTGGTGGCTCATGCCTATAATCCTAGCACTTTGGGAGGCCGAGGTGGGTGGATCACCTGAGGTCAGGAGTTCCAGATCAGCCTGGCCAACATGGTGAGACCTCATCTCTACTAAAAATACAAAAATTAGCCGGGCATGGTAGCATGCGCCTGTAATCAATCCATCCTGGGTGAAAAGAGCAAAACTCTGTCTCAAAAAAAGAAGAAAGTTTTTTGTTTTGTTTTGTTTTTGAGACAGGGTCTCACTTTGTTGCCCAGGCTGGAATGCAGTGGTGCAATCTCAGCTCACTGCAACCTCCACCACCTGGGTTCAAGCAATTCTCCTGCCTGAGCCTCCTAAGTAGGTGGGATCACAGGCATGCACCACCATGCCCGGCTAATTTTTGTATTTTTAGTAGAGACAAGGTCTCACCATGTTGGCCAGGCTGGCCTCGAACTCCTGAGCTCAAGCAATCTGCCTGCTTCAGCCTTCCAAAGTGCTGGAATTACAGGCATGAGCCACCATGCTGGGCCAAAAGTTTCTTAATGTCTATAAATGTAGAATGAGGTTTCACTTTTGGCTAAGGGAGTCACCGCCCCCACCCTGACTCTACCCAAGCTCCAAGCTAAGCAACACTCACAGTGGAATTTCTGCAAAACCACTGCTATTAATCTGGGATGGTAATTTAACAGTCTAGGAAGGCTTGCTCTCATAAAGACTTCAACTAGGAACCAGCAGAGGTAGGAAGCAGAAATGTTATTCTTCTGGATATAAAAGAAAAGGAGTAAAATTACAATTATAGACTATGAAAGGGTAGCTGTCATGGTTCTTTTAAAACCATTCTAAAGTTTGAATTATATAAAACAGGAAAAATAATGAAGTCCACAGCTGCATTTACATGGAAATTTTTTGGTAGGATTACTCTGCCTTTCGATTACCAGGCCTGCAGAAAAACAAAATTTTAGTTAAAGCTACTTATAAAACTGCTCTTTACTACCAAGATAATCTCCTAGTAGGATTCTTCCATGACATGTTGGTTTTAATCCTGGAATTCAGAGCAGGTTTCATTTTGGCTTAGAGAATAGACTTTTTAATCAAGTATGATAATGTACAAACATGTCTATTACCAGACTTGATGGTCAGAGGGTAGCTCACAAATGTATTTCCAAAGATTATTGTAAGATGTAAGACTTTACACATTAAAAAACATATATTATTCACAACCAGCTCTTTAGAGGGTTTTAAGGAACAATTCAAAAGCTCGGGGCGACTTAAATACTAACAGCAAGTGGAAAAATGCAAGTGGAACGGAAATAAAATATCAAAAAAGAAATTGCCTAATGAGATGATATTTTCAACTCTTTCCTTTTCCCCATGATATGCAGCCCTAATTTGGCTCCTAATTTGCAAGTCACACATAAACCCTTTTTCTATAGACTAGAACTATCTAGAGCTACTGGCCAAGAAGCAGAAAAGAAGAGGCACAGAGAATTTAGCTTAGAAATTTTTCTTTTTAAAAAGTAGGTATCCGTTCCTGAGTGGCAATGGAGAAAAACAGAATAGGCTCAACGTTGAGATGTATTCATATCGACCTAGAAACCTATACATGTCTCTGCTCCCGGCTGCACGGTGGGAAGGCACAGAGACCCCCTAAATGGGACTGATTACCTGTGGTGTCCAGGTGAGGGAATAAACAAAGGTCATGAGGTATTTTCTTAACAGGCACTGTGGGCGGCAATCTGTCAACAGAGAAAATAAAACTATCAGGGACCACAAGCTTTAGAAGGAACTACTACATTCCAAAGTCTTACCATAATTTAAAAGGGCTCTTCCAGAAATCTCAGATAAGAGGACCATAGAATAGAATGTGTGTATGGGAGCAATGCCAGTAAGACCAGATGAAAACAGCATTTCAGAAAAGTTGTTGTCCAATTCTTTGGATGGCCCAAGAAAGCCTGAGACACCTGCCCCTGAGCAGCTGGTCCTGATCAGTGAGTTTCTCCCAGGTCGCTTCTGGCCTTATCTCTTGCTATGGAATTGTAATACTGCCTTCAATTATATTTTAAACATGAAGAAACATTATCTTACATTTGATTAAAGTCAGACTTTTCCACTTCGATGTCTAATTGAAAACCACTTTCCACTAACCTTTGATTTCTGACCTCCGGGCCCGCGGGAGTCATGGCCACACTAAAAATAAGGCCTTAAAAGAAAATCTATAAACTGGCATATCTTAAAATGTAACATAGGCTTATTCCAGGACAGAGCTCTGTTATAGTTCAGTAAAAATGTTGCTGAATAAATATGTGTTTTACAATGTAGCCTTAGGGGAAAAGAGGTGAACTAGGTTTCACAGGGGTGTCTAGGTTGGTGGCATAGAAACCACATGGTTGAAAAGCTCCTTAAGCTCAAAGTCAACCCTTACAAGAGATCTTAGCAAGGCCATCTATGGAGTGGTTCTCCAAGAGGGGTCCCCAGGCCCACAGCATTGACGCTACCTGTGAACTTGTTAGAAATGCAGATTCTTGGGCCCCATCTCGGACATTCTGAATCAGAAATTTTGAGGATGGGGCCCAGCAATCTGTGTGCTCCAAGCTCTCTAAGTGACTGATGCATGAGAAAGGTGAGAACCGTTAATCCACGGGCTGTGCATTTAAGGAGTGATGGATTCAAGTTTGGATTCGGTCACAGGCGTGTTATGAAATCTCTCTACTTCCCCATCAGGCGGATAACGTGGAGTCTGGTTATGAGCCAGATAAACTGCATTTAGAACCAAACCCACAAAAAAATACCTACAGAGCTGCTCTTCTCATTCAAATCGTGCAGTTCCAGTTCAATTTCATCTTATTTAAATTTAAACTCGACTACCGCAAGTGAAAAATGCTGTTTTCACCTGTCTTTCCATCAGTGTATTTTTATTTACTTAAGAAAGCAGAATCCCTTGGCCTGGAATGTACATTTTGGCGTATTTTAAATTATTTTTCAATATCTACAAATGTTACTAGCAGTCACAACTATTCAAAAACACACTGCCTGCCTGGACACGCTTTGCTAACACCCTCTTTCCACATAAAGTCACAATTGAAATGGGGGACACCCTGTTTCCACAGAAAATCACGACTGAAATGGGGGACAGGGCATAATCTGTATTTGTTCAGCCTACAACTTAAGGCCTACACTTCTTTTCAAATGGAATCTAATTTAATCTTTGTAAGTACCCCCAAATTGTATTTTACAAGCCAGGGCACTGAGGGGCAGAGAATTAATGCCACTTGCTCAGGTTCACTCAGCAGAGCTGGGGTTGGACTGAAGTTTTCTGCCTCCCAAGCCTGGGCTACTCTAGGAGAGGTGAGTAAGCAGCAGCATTCTGAGTGTGGTGAGGGGCTGCGACTCGAAACTGCACCTGCCACGTGGGGCCCCTGCAGACGCTGAGAACTATAGACACAGACAGCGATTTCTCTCAGTGTGTAGGTCTGGGACACTCCCCAGGTATGTCGAAATGGAATAAAAAGTGAGCCATGGGAATCTGGATTGCGAGTGCCTTGGGGAGCAGGCACTGTGTCTTGCACATAACAGGTACATAACAAATAACAGTCACTATGTTTTACTGCTACCTCTACTAGGGTGCTATTTGTTAGATAACTCCAATAAAAACAGCCATGCTTCCCATCCTCCATAAAGACACTACAGTTTATCGGTATACAGTGTAGTCTGGAGGGGAAAAAAGCACGTACTGTTTCTCTGGTTGCACGACTGCAATCTTTCTCTTCTTTTGTGCTGTAGAAAAGGCAAAACGGAAAAAGAAAATCAGCTTTGTTAGTGGGGCAAGTCCATTTTTAAAAATAGGTTATAAAGCAAAGAGGTACCCATTTTAAAGTAGCAATTTAAATGCTGAAAAGTTACGTCATTCATGCCACAATTTCCTATCAGTTTCTTCTAGCATAGGATAGACGTTAACTCACCAGATGTCAGATCTTAGTACAACTTCGTTCATTTAATCTTATCATTACACTAGCTACTTTATTTTTAAATGTGCATTTAAGAAAGCAAAAGAGTACACCTGTTGTACCTCACATTAGCACACATGTTCAGATCAATTGTTGCAAGCAGTTATCCGGAATGATTTTTTTCCAATAAAAATTGTGATGAAGCAAATCATGTTACTATCACAGCACACTCCCAAGGTGCTGTCAGAGGCATGCATTTCAACTAAAACATGTTATTCACAAAAGGAGAACCAGTAGCTCGCAAATACGCCTGGTCAAATATTGACATAAATGAGCAAATAGTGATTTCTTTGGATAAGAACATTTCCAGTTTATATTTGTAACTGATTCAGATCACCTTAACAAAAATAGACCAAAGCTTTTGGCATCTACTAACTTTGGCTCAGATAATCCTACATCTTCCAACATAAGCATAAATTAATTCCAACAAAACTTCTAAAGCTGCTAGAGTCTGGCAGGTTTGGAGTTGGAGTTTGCCTCTTTAAAGCAAAATGTATGTGCAAGAAATGCAAGCAAAAATAAATAAGAAAAATACTCAATAAGATCCCGCTACTCTTGACTATCTGATATTCAATTCCAGTTACTACTACAAAAAGGTCCAGACTTAGGATCTCTCAGGTGAAAAATGAGTTTGGAATACTTGTCTCCCCTGGTCTTTGTTAGCGGGGTGGGGATGCCTGACCCCCTGGGAAAGAGCCAAGCACAACAGACAGATCCAAAATCCTAAAGGAGGAGGAAACTTCACAGTGTTCACCTTAACCTGTATATGATTGTGCTCCAGAAAAACCCAAAGCACTTGCACCCTCCCAAATCCATGTGAAGAGGGGAGGAAGAGGATCTAGGACACCAGGTTCTGTTTGAGGGACAACAAGGACAGAGGGGATTGGAACCCCAACCCCAGGACAACACTCAGGTTGGGGAGAATCTATTGGCCATGCTGGCTGAGCAAGGTCAGAATCTGCAGCTTTTTTTTTGTGAGACAGAGCGGAGTATCGCTCTGTCACCCAGGCTGGAGTGCAGTGGCATGATCTCAGTTCACTGCAACCTCTGCCTCCCGGATTCAAGCGATTTTCGTGCCTCAGCCCTCCGAGTAGCTGGAATGACAGGCATGCACCACCATGCCTGGTTAATTTTTTGTATTTTTAGTAGAGATGGGGTTGTGCCATGCTGGCCGGGCTGGTCTCGAGCTCATGACCTCAGGTGATCCACCCGCCTCGGCCTCCCAAAGTGCTGAGATTATAGACGTGAGCCACCACGCCTGGCCAGAATCTGCATCATTTTAAGAGACAGGGGAAAAGAATGTCCCTGGGATTAAAATAATTATTGTACACTCAATGTTTTAGAAATATTTTTAAGTAAGGGGAAACGATTACTCCAACTGAATCAGATCCATTGGGCAGGATGGTTTAGGAAAAGGAGAATCCCATAGAATCCAGCTGTCTCTAATCTGAACTACCTGCTTGTTTCACACACATAATGTCCTCTGGTGCTCTTAATAATGCTAACTAGAGGAGCCCTGAAACTCTGTCGCCATCAGGGAATGTGAAGTCAGCTATGCAATGGAACTGTGTTTCCAGCAACGTTGTGAGAGTCTACAGAAGTGGCCACAGAACAGGCTGTTAGGAAGAAGTAAAGTTGGTGCCTAAATTCCATCAAGAAAATGTCAGAGACGGAATCTCTTTAACAGTTAAAACCTGTTATCTCTAAGGACTCATCATTTTAAATAACACTTCTGATATGCATTAGGGTAGAATAATAAACGCAATGATTTATTAGGTTAGAAGATTTTTAAATGGTACCATTTTGTGACAATAACCTACAAAAATATGTTAAAACACACTATTAGCCAGGCGTGGCCAAAGTGTAATTCCAGCACTTTGGGAGGCCAAGGCAGGCGGATCACTTGAGGTCAGAAGTTCGAGACAAGCCTGACCAACATGGTGAAACCCCATCTCTACCAAAAATATAAAATTAGCTGGGCATGGTGGCGCACGCCTGTTATCTCAGCTACTCAGGAGGCTGAGGCAGGAGAATCTCTTGAACCCGGGAGGTGGAGGTTGCAGAGAGCCGAGATAGCGCCATTGCACTCCAGCCTGGGCAACAAGAGCGAAACTCCATCTTTAAAAAAAAAAAAATTTTTTTTTTGCATGTATTTAAATGTGCATGTGCGTGTGTGCACACATGTATGAATGGGCGTTTACTGCTGGGTTAACTGTTAATATTGGTTATTTGGTATTTCTGTAACCAAAGGGACGTGTGGTAATATACTTTATAAAGTACAGTTGAAATATCAGTGATTAGTTAGTGCTAAGAGTAGGCTGTTTATTTTATTTATTTTTTGAGACAGAGTCTCACCCTGTCACCCACGCTGGAGTCTACTGGTGCTTGGTTGCCATCTTGGCTCATTGCAGCGTTGACCTCCCGGGCTCAGGCAATCCTCCCACCTCAGCCTCCAGAGTAGCTGGAGACACGTGTCACTCTGCTTGACTAATTTACTTATATATGTACTTCTTTTTTTACGTATATACAGTATCTCACTATGTTGCCCAGGCTGGTCTCAAAATCCTGGGCTCAAGCATTCTCCTGCCTTGGCCTCCCAAAGTACTGAGATTATAGGAATGAGGCACTGTGCCTAGCCTGGTTAAGTGTTTATAAGAATGTCAGTATATTATTGGAACCAATTAAGATTCTGTTAGGAGAAGCTACATGAGAAAAATCAGTTCTTTTAAAGAAATGGTAACACAATAATATAGTATCTAACATATTTTTTCACATCAAAACAATGAATTGTATAAAAAACTGAGAGTGATGATTTCAGATATTTTTCCTCTGCCTCTCTGTGACTTTCAACTGTCCCTCACTGTTAAAGTTTGTCAACCTGTGACATCATCTCATGCAAACACTTAAAGATTAAGCGAGATCATGAAAACATGGGTTCTTGGTGGAAAATCAAAAATCTTATTTGTTCTTTAGAACTTGGTTATAATTTCTTTATGAAGCTGCCAATTTATTCACAAAGATCACTGGTGTCATCCACCCCCCCTCAACTGGGAACCACTTACAGACTGTTTTGTGTGGTGCAGTCAAAGGATAAGAATTGGCTTCACACCAGCCCACTGGGAAGATGTCCATGGATTCCACATCAACAATGACCTCTGGAACAGGAGTCTGCAGCCCTGCATGGGAAGAAGTTGAAACAAGAGGTACAAACAGATCTTACCAACAAAGAAATAGAAGGACAACAATAATAGAGCATCCCTAACATGGGGAAAAACATTCCTTTATACATTAAAAAACAAAAACAAAAACAAAATAGCCATATGGAAGAGATGACTTTAGAGGAGTCTTTAATCTTATCAGAGACAAAACTCCTTGAAATATAAAAAGGCAGGAATAAAAGGGGTTCAGAGAAAACGAAGGTTTGGAAAAAGAGAGATACTCTGCCCTAAAAGTAAAAGAGGAAGAAGGACCGTAGGAAAAGATTGGCATCGGAGCAGGATTGGCTGAAAGAGAGAACAAGCATCCCCCTTTCCTAAGAACAGCTCTGGGGTTAAGGGAATGTATCGGAGCTTGGGGTGGGACCTCAGGGCCCACATCTAAGCCTTCATGATATGCTCCACCTAACACCAAGTAAAGGCAACCTTCAATGAAAGAAAGTCAAGCATCACAGCTAAACGGAACCAGTCAAACTCAAAAACAAGGTTTATGAGCAGTGTACGTGGACAAGGCCCTTCTCTAGGAAACCTGACAACTTATCAGTTTGGAGTTACTTTGTTTTGAACTCAGTTTGTGGCCTGTAGACTTTGGCTATGTCATAGAAAAGTCACTTATGTAGCAATGTCTAAAAGATCCCACTAAAATGTGGGACCTGATGACTGTCACATCCTATTTCGTAATTACAGTCATGCCTTATGAGGACCTGGCTTCACAGCCATGAAACTCTGAAAAAGACAAGAAGACTGGATTTAACAGCAGCAAAAGTTTCAAGGAGCTCTGGCTATGGAGAGAATAAATTTGGAACTAGTTAAAAGAAGAAAATTCGACACCAAATCAATAGTTAAGAAAAAAACACTTTGAACCAGGAATCAAGAGATCAGAGCTCCATTAATAGACGGTGACCCATGGACTCTGACCCCTTAGTCCAGCCCTGCTTGGTTTCCTCATTGAGAACCAAGATGAAGATAACACAGTGGCCGGGTGTGGTGGCTCATGACTGTAATCCCAGCACTTTGGGAGGCCAAGGCCAGCAAATTGCTTGAGCCTAGGAGTTCAAGATCAGCCTCAGTAACATGGCAAGACCTCATCTCTACAAAAAATACAAAATTAGCCTGGCATGGTAGCATGCACCAGTAGTCCCAGCTACTCAGGAGGCCGAGGCAGGAGGATTGCTTGAGTCTAGGAGTTTGAGATCAGCCTGGCCAACATGAAGACACCTTGTCTCTACAAAAAATACAAAATTAGCCTGGCGTGGTAGCAGGCACCTGTAAGTCCTAGCAACTTGGGAGGCTGAGGTGGGAGGACTGCTCACGTCTGGGAGGTCGAGGTTGCAGTGAGCAGTGATTGCACTATTGTACTCTGGCCTAAGTGACAGAGCAAGACACTGTCAAGAAAGGAAGAAAGGAAGGAAGGAAGAAAGAAAGAAAGAGAGAAAGGAAAGAAAGAAAGAAGGAAAGAAAGAAAGAAAGAAGGAAAGAAGGAAAGAAAGAAAAAGAAAGAAAGAGAAAGGAAGGAAGGAAGGAAGGAAAGGGAGGAAGGAAAGGGGAAAGAGGGAGGGAGGGAGGAAGGAAGGAAGGAAAGAAGGGAAGGAGAGAGAAAAGAAAATAACCTGGTGAGCCCCATTACCATCCAAGTCATCTCATAACATCTGAAGAATTCTGAATCACATCCTCCCTCCCCACCAAAACCATAACTTCACGAAGCTAAATGCCAACAACCAAACACAAAATGGTCCTAAATCTGGTGCGAGCTCCACCGGCTCTGACTTTTCATCGTCAAGTAGACATGGTGAAGATGGAGTATTTTACTTGCTAAACGTGGGGTCCCAATTTAGAGTTAAGCCAATATATTGGTGTATCTCAGGTGCTCTGAACATGGACAGCAGGTGCTTATACACACATACTATCATTGTCATTCATCATTTTGAACTTTTGATTGGTTCTCAAATCAATTATCACCACTGTCAGTCTTAACTTTTTAAATGTTTAATTCCCCTGTAATTTAAAGAATATAGAATTTAAAGGAATGCTAGAAGGTTCACAGGGCTTATTTTTGAACAAGGTTAAATAAATAGACATTGTTTCTGTCTAATATTGTAAGACTTGACCAACATTTAGCCTAATTGCTAAAGGAATCAAACAAGAAAGAATATGTTCAAAACAGACAAAACGTAAAGAGACTCTCCCCAGAGGCATCCAATGTGGAAGTGCCTCTGCCCGTCCTGAAGGGTGTGGGATTGATTCCCCAGAGTCCAATAAAGCAGGTCCCCGGGCAGGTTCCTGGTACACAAGGTCATTTTCTCCTCCGCAGACCCAAAGAGCATTTGTTTCTTAGCTACTCAAACATTTTGCTAACAGGTTAGATTCCTCTACTAAATATATTTATCTTTCCAGATTTACATTTAGCTACAAATAACATTTTCAAGGTCATTAAAAGTAGTACTTCAAAAGGAAGCATAACAGTAACTTTATATTGGGAGGCTGAGGCGGGCGGATCACCTGAGGTCAGGAGTTCAAGACCAGCCTGCCCAATATGGCAAAACCTCATCTCTACTAAAAATACAAAAAATTAGCTGGGCATGGTGGAGGGTGCCTGTAATCCCAGCTACTTGGGAGGCTGAGGCAGGAGACTCACTTGAACTTGGGAGGTGGAGGTTGCAGTGAGCCAAGATCACGCCACTGCGCTCCAGCCTGGGCAACAAGAGCAAAATTCCATCTCAAAAAAAAAAAAAAGAAAAAAAAAAAGTAACTTTATGGCTTATTCCTTCCTCAATTACAACTTTCATCTTCCAATGTTCTGCTAATTCAAACATCACATCGTATTATGGCTTTAATACATACGCTTCAGTACAATGTATACATTAGTATATTGCTAGGGCCGTCTTTACCATACTTTAGAATCCTTTGATCATCTTTCCCATTCAATTAAACAAGTATTTATGAGGTCAGATGCGTCGGCTACCTTTCCCTCAAAAAGGTTACAATTATGCCTTCTCCCACCCCAAATATATCCCATTAAGGCATCTATTAAATAAGAACTGATGGAAAAGTCAGTTATTTATCACCTGGGAAAGTGTTTCTGACCCTAAACAAATCCCATTCTAAATAATGGGTACCAAGTTCTTCATTTCCCTTTACCAAGCTTATGAGTCTACATTTATCTGGCTGGACTCAGACTAATTATTTTCCAAGACAGGAGACCCAATAGCATGCAAAATAATCTATTAAAAGAATGTCCACAATGCTTCTCCTTGATTATTTGAGGATTGCAAAAAGTTCATAGGCAAAGCTGAATGTTCCACTGAAGACCTTTATCATTTTATAGAAAAATCCTGACACATTGCTTCTCGGCCTTTTGGCTAAGATCAAGCGAAAAATCCCCGACAAACAACACAAGACCATGTTCAATCTCTTGACTTTGGCTAAGCTGCATCTGGTCAGTATGGATTCTACTTGTTTATTTTTATCCAGAACCTTCGTCTCAAAAACCATGAGGAAGCTTAATTCCCCATCTATGGGAAAGCACTTAAGTAAATCTGGGTATATCCATATGAAGGAATATTCTGCAGCTATAAAAAAGAATCAGACACCTCTTAATATACTCAGATGTACAGATCTCCAAGATGCACTGCCGAGTATAAAAGGCAGGGTGCAGAACACTGTGCATATATAGTATGCTACCATCTGTTTAAAAGGGGGAAATAACATATATTCATATGTGCATAAAATAAATCTGGAAGGAAATGCAAAATACTAACACAGTGGGTGTCCACAGGGAAAGGAACCAGTTGGCTGGAGGCCGGGGCACAGGAGTGGAGGGAGAATCTGACCCAAGATAAACCTTTATGACTTTTTGGCCTTTGTGAATGAGTTACCTATTTTGCAACCAAGGCCTCCACAATCACCACCATTGTAACAATACAACCATAGACACCCAGAGAAGAAAGTAAGACTCTTATACATAAATACGGTATTGCCACAGAGGTCAGGTTAATGAGGGGCCAATTACCATGAAGGAAAATAAAACTAAACAGCAATCAACATTTCCGTTTCTAAGAGAACAAAGACTTTCCGTACTCACAATCTAAATTCATAACAGATTTCTGAGAATCCCTTTGGAACCTTAAAGAGTTCTGCAGCTTGCTACCCCCTTGTCCCCGGTTCAGCAGGACACAGAGGTCTACCTGGTGCTCTCACTGCAAACACACCACGGCTCCACCCAGCCGATGACACAGGTGACTGTAATCGAGACAGTGACCTATGCTACCCAGAGCCCCAGGATGAAAAAGGGAGATGCTTATGGCTTGGGAGGACACCTGAGTGTCTTCCTAGGAACACAGTTCTATCAAACTCCTAAAATTATGTAATTACTTCACTCAGAGCGAATCACAGGAGAGAGCGCGAGCATGCATGAGCTTGGGGTGAGAGATGCCACTGGGCAGCAGAGGCAGGAGGGACCCAGGGCGAGGGAGGCTACAAGCCCACCATGAGGAGGCAAATGGGTTCCACCTCCTTCAGGAAGAAAATCGGAACAACTGCTTCAGCTCAGTTAAAGGCTGGAATCAGAAGAAGGAAAAGAAGTATTTAAGGGAATGTGTTAACCTTGCCTAATAAATGTCCCCACTGAAAGTTAAAGGGCATGGCAAATGCTGACAGGCTTGAGTGTGAGATGAACAGGCAAAACACCAGCAGAATGCAAAGCCGGTGTGAGTGCCCGCAAGCAAGACCTGGACGCTGGAAGCCCCACCTGCCCTCTGGGCGTGTTCCCTTTGCAGATGCCTATCAAGAAGCCCAGCGCGCAAAGCCTCCCTGGGTCAGCTCTGGAGCCGAAGGCCTGGGAAAACAAAACCAAAAACAAAACCAAAAACGGTGGGCGAAACTGGTGGCCAGGATCAAGGTATCATAGGAAACAGGCTGAAGGAAATGACAGAAATGGGATTAGACGAGTATGGGGGGGGTGTGGGGAGGGGAGAGAGGAGAGAGACCCACACAGTAGCAAACACAGTGCTTACTCCATTCCAAGCGTTCAATCCTCACAACAACCCTAAGAGATACGGGGTGTTTTCATCCCCATTTCAGAGATCAGTAAACTGAGGCACCGGAAGAAATCCAGCGGCCGGCAAGTGGCAGCTGAAGGATTTAAACCTGGGCAGTCCAGCTCCAGAGCCTTAGAAAGCACCTGGGGTGGGCGGCTATCTTTTTCCTTCCTCGTTTTTATTTCTGGGTGGGGGGTATGTGTCTAGCAACTGTCTCCCTCCTGTTAGGGCCCCATACAGTTCTTGCAGAATTCCCACCATGTAGTAGCTGTTGCCTGCTGCTACAGGAAAAGCCAGGTCAACCCCAGACCTGCAGGCAGATGAAGGCAGGCTTGGGACCCCTTCAGTGAGAATGTGCTCACCGGGAAGTCACATGCACCACAATGGCAGCTGGAAAACCTGAACTTTGCTATGGTTCCTGCTGCAGAGCCTTCTGGAGAGGCGATTCCCCGGCCTCTGGTCAACAGTCTTCCCAAATCATTCCCAATGGACTTACGACAGCCAGAGCCAGTCCTGCTGCTGGCCCCCAAAACCTAACAGAGCAGCAGCCTTCCAAACAAACACCTGTGGCGGGATTAAACGCCTCTTCCCCGAGACAGCTCCTGTGGGTCACCTGCTTTAACTGTCTGGAAAATACTGTTGCTGTATTCTCATCTGCTGAAGCAGCTTCTCCCCCTAAGGTTTCATAGAGGCCATACTTCTTCTTTGTAAAGGTTTTAAAACCACCCACCCTGGCTTGAAATGTAATTGTTTTCACGTTTACATGTTCCCTTGTTTCAATTTTGCAAGTATCTCCAAAATGCATAGTAACTACCTGACTTTTTTTGCCAGTTACGGAAAAACTTAAGGGGCTGTGTTCTGCACCTGGTCCCCTAAACATATGAGGTGGGCTCAGACGGGCTTCTCTGAACCACACCATTGTTCCACAGCTGGTCCCCTAAACATACAAGGTGGGCTCAGACGGGTTTCTCTGAACCACACCATGCATTCCCCATTTGACCTACTGGAGTGCTTTACAAACTCTAGGCTGCATGAGAAACATCAGGGGAGGGAGACTTTGCAAATGCAGATTCCCAGAGACACTGCTAAGGGACTTGGAGGCACTAGGTCTGGGAGAAATGTGCATTCTAATAGGACCCCGTTGACTGGGATGTGGAGGGCAGTTTGCTGGAACTCAAGTCAGTCAGTCATAGAGACAAACCAGTCAAGGAGTTTCTGAATTTTAGCTTCCAGTATAAAAGATCTCACTGTCCCCAAATTCGGTTGGCCAAACAGCAGTTCTTAATGGACTGCTGTATCTTAAATCGCTATTTCATTTAGGAATACACATTTTATTTCTTCCTCAGATCTACTCAGCAAACGCTGAGCAAGCAAAGTTCACAGGACCGCCTGTAAAAACATGGTGCTTTGTCAGGTGCACGGAGAGGAACAGAGCCCTGTGGGACAGTGTCCAGCACCAAGAACCAAATCAGGAGGCTTGCAGACACAAGTGCTCCTTTCAGCTGGAGCACAGGCTCCCGCAGGTGGCAAATCTTAAAAGAAAAGTGCTGCCTAATAATACTATCAGCAACCTCCATTTACTAAGCAATGACTACTACGTGCTAACATGACTCTTACACTCTATCGATGTTCATCCACTTGCCACCATCCTATAAGAGACTCTATCACTAGCTGTTTTATACAGCTGTACAAATAAAAAAGATTTTACACTCAGAAAGTGCCAAGTTCACACATCCAGGAAGCATATGTGCCTACAGAGGATGGGTTGCTGAGTGTCATGTTATGGAATTTAGTCTCTACTCGATAGCAAAGACTTGCAACCAAGCTAAATGCCCATCAATGATAGACGGGATAAAGAAACTGTGGCACACATACACCATGGAATACTATGCAGCCACAAAAAAGAATGAGTTCATGTCCTTTGCAGGGACATGGATGAAGCTGGAAACCATCATCCTCAGCAAACTAACACAGGAACAGAAAACCAAACACTGTACGTTCTCACTCATAAGTGGAAGCTGAACAATGAGAACATATGGACACAGGGAGGGGAGCATCACACACTGGGGCCTGTCAAGGGGTGGGGGTAAGGGGAGGGAGAGCATTAGGACAAATACCTAATACATGCGGGGCTTCAAACCTAGATGACGGGTTGATGGGTGCAGCAAACCACCATGGCACATGTATACCTATGTAACAAACCTGCACGTTCTGCACACGTATCCCAGAACTTAAAGTAAAATAAAAAAAATTAAGAAAAAAAAGAAACACAGACCTACTGTGTATTAGGAGGAAGGCAATGCCTGTATTTTACAGAAATAACCTCAAAGCCCCATGAAGAGGGCAGAGACAGCAGGTAGGAGGCGGCTGAAATCACAGAGCCAGGGAGGAGGGCCTGAGTGCAATGTGGGGGCCAGAAGAGGACAGGCGGAGGTCCGGACTGAAGTGACTCATGGGTTGTGGGGGTGGTGGTGGGAGGGCAGGAATTATTGTAGAGTTTCTAACTTTGAGGATGCCGTGGCTTCCGACTTGGGTGAATAACGGCATCATTCGTCAGCCAGGACGTTCACGGAGAAGAGCAGAGACGGGTTCTGACGGTTCTGCTGGTGAGTTCTGTTCTGGAAATGCTGCTGCCACGTGGAGATGTTTTGCAGGGGATGGAAAGGGAGTTGTGAGTGTGAGGCCATGGGTGTGGGCACTCAGATCCGTGTGCGAGGCCATGGGCGCGGGCACTCAGATCCGTGTGCGAGGCCATGGGCGCGGGCACTCAGATCCGTGTGCGAGGCCATGGTGCGGGCACTCAGATCCGTGTGTGATGCCATGGGCATGGGCACTCAGATCCGTGTGCACAGCGTGACCGTCCAAAGCCACAGAGAAAGACGAGGCCACGCTGGGCACAGATGGCTGAAGAGCAGGACTGGGGGATTCTAACCTCTACATCTGAGAAAAGCAGGGCAAAGAAGAGGCCAAGAAAAGTCATCTGGGGAGGAGCCAACGGTGGGAAGTGAGCCAGCCCTGCCACCCCAGGACTGTGCAGAAGATGGAGGAGACAGAGGAGCAACCAGGAAAGGAGTGGGAACATCCAGAGACAGAAGTCACCAAGGGTGGTAGAGAAACGTACTAAAAAGAAAACATCACGAGTAAAAAGCAAGAAACAACCAACCAAAGCAGGAGATGGAGAATATATGCGATCCTTCTTAACAAGAGGTTAAGAAAACGTCCAGCATCTTCCGGCCACCACTCTTAAGAACACAGGCCACTGCAGCAGGTGAAGAGAGGACAGTGGCCCTGCCAGGTTGGGGAACTTCCCCTGTGGGTTGCTGTGTTGCGTTCCTGTCTTGGATGCTGGGTACAAATGAAGCAAGTGGAGAAGGAAAGGCCAGCATAACAGCATGAGTTCAGAGAACTAACCCACCTCCACCAACCAGTCAGATAAATGGGAAGATGCCACCGGACAATTGCAGAGTGACGCATTTCTTAAGATGGGCAAAGGACAGATTAGATTTATTCCTGAGCTATCACTGCTTCTTGTGTTTAAATACCTATGAGGAAATTCTACGGACTTATGGGATCCCCATACTGCTCCTCAAACACACTTGCAGAAATCAGAAACTACACACGTAGCGGACCTGCCTTGCACGTAAGTGCTGTGCTTGTCAGTGTGGAATGTGAAGTTCGTGGTACAAGGAGGCAATTCCTGAACTCCAAAAACTTACTGTCCAAAGCTGTGCACAGCACAGATTCCTAGCTTGATACCTGTAGGGTGTGTTTTGTCATTATTTATTTTTCCCACCCATTCAAAGCACAAAAACACTAACTGCAGATTCCATGCCTGTTTTAATTTATAACAGGGCTCCCCAGTTCAAAACTGGGTTTTGTTATTCGCACTCTAAAGCTCTCTTCAACAATTTCTGCAGTGGTAACAACTGAAAGAGCTAAATAACTCAGAAGTAAGGAAGTCTGCTTGTCTTCCTAACTCTTGTGACATGAAAGGCATTTCTGCCTCAACTAAAAGGCTAAAATACTCAGCACTGGGGAAGAGAGAGCTGATCACATTCCTTCTAAATAGGAGGAAAAGTGTATGAATCATGATGAGGACAAAAACAGAGAAAACAGGCTGGGCGTGGTGGTTCACACCTGTAATCCCGGCATTTTGGGAGGCCAAGGTGGGCAGATCACTTGAGCCCAGGAGTTTGAGACCACCCTGGGCAACATAGTGGGACCCGCATCTCTACTAAAAATACAAAAGAAATTAGCCAGGTGTGGTGGCACGTGCCTGAAGTTCCAGCTACTCAGGAGGCTGAGGTGGAAGGATTATTTGAGGAGTCTGAGGCTGCAGTGAGCCGTGATCACACCACCACACTCCAGTCTGGGTGACAAGAGCAAGACCCTGTCTCAAAACAAAACAAAAATATACAGAACATCTTCCAAATGTTTCCTATGGTCTTGAACCTGTTTTAGGGGATCTCCATAGATTAATTAATGTTGCAATCATCTCCTGAGGCAGGGGTTGTTTTATCCAACACTGTACATGGGGGCTCCAGGGCACTGCTCTGCTCAACCAAGCACTGGAATCCCTCCCTAGGCAATCAGAACCTGGGTTCACCTGCATGGCTCACATCCATGGAGGCAGGGCCCCGCAGAGGCAGCACAGAACCCTGCAGGGAGGAGAGTCCGCTGCAGGTGCCAGAGGGCGGCTGGCCGATGAATTTAAGCCCACTGACTCAACTTCATAGACATCAGGGCCTGACCTGCTTCCCTCCTCCTTCCCTGCTGTGTTTGGCTTGAGGGTCTACTAGGGATGGCTCCCCGTGCATCGAACACAGTAGACAAACTCGCTAGGCGGTATAGACCCCCATGGGATTGTCTGTTCATCCCAGCCACCAGGAGCAGCTCAGTGCCTAAGACTTGAGCACATTCTCAAGGAACCAGGTTCATCACAGAGTCCCTCTCTGGCTCCTGAGAATTTCCTCTTCATTCTCTCTCGGAAAATTCTTCCTGGAAACTCTGCTAACTGCTTTAATGCAAACCAAGCCCCTGCTATAAGTAACACCATGATTGCCATTTTAGAAATGGGGAAACCAGGGCTTAAGCAACGTGCTCAAGGCCACAGGGCCACCAGGAGCCTGCGTTCACACCTGGCACTGCCTGGCTCCAAACTGCTGTGACTGCAGCCGACCCCGCTCCCATCGCAGACCGCAGATCATGGTGACTGATATGGTTTGGCTGTGTCCCCACCCAAATCTCATCTTGAATTGTAGCTCCCCAAATTCCCATGTGTTGTGGGAGGGGCCTGGTGGGAGATAACTGAATCATGGGGGGCAGCTCCCCCATACTGATCTCATGGTAGTGAACAAGTCTCACAAGATCTGATGGTTTTAGAAGGGGTTTCCCTTTTTGCTTGGCCTCATTCTCTCCTGCCGCCGCCATGTAAGACGTGATTTTCAGCTTCCGCCATGATTGTGAGGCCTATCCAGCCATGTGGAACTGTGAGTCCATTAAACCTATTTTTCTCATCAGTCTTGAGTATGTCTTCATCAGCAGCATGAAAGTGGACTAATACAGTGGCTCAAGTGACTACCGAGCTATCTTGCTGTCCCCTCCTTGCCAGTGCCCCATCTGGCTAGTGCCCCGTTTGCTTCTAAAAGTCTCCTCGTTTAAGCAAAGTTTGTGGTCACCGTCCCCACATATCCTGTAGCCTCTGATGAGGGCCTCAGTGTCAAAATTCCCGCCACTCCCTATGCCTCCTCACCTGGAATCCCCATCCGTATCTTAAAATGCAACTGTTGCTATTCAAATCTGTCTCCTTCCAAACCTGTTCTTCCTCCTCTGTGTCCCTAGTCCTTTTAATGTGTCCCTGGGGACACTTCCAAGGAAGCCGAGGAATCAGGACCAGCCCCTCTATCAACTAACTCTTCAGTCCTCCATTAACAACAAGCCACCTACAATTTAATATTCTTGCCAATAGGTGGCCAGGTCTATGAGGACCAAAAAGACAATATGGTAAATTATGATGAAAGTAGATAAACATAAAGCATTATTTATGATTGATAATAAATCTTGTAAAAGGCCATTTTCAGACAAATCCAGCATGATTTGACTCATGTGAGGTACTTGAAGTCATCAACTTCATAGAGACGGGAAGGAGAATGGTGCCAGTCAGGGGCTGAGGAGGGAAGGGAGACTTTAACGGGGAGAGAGTTTCAGTTTTGCAAGACGAAAAATGTTCTGGAGATGGATGGTGGTGATGGGTATATAACTGTGTAAATAAACTTTAGGCCACTGAACTGTATAATTTAAAATGACTAAAGTGGTAAATTTGATGTTACATATATTTTAAAACCATTCTTAAAAATGAAAAATTTTTTCAATAAAATATCTCAATGAAACCACCCAAAAGTTCTTGTCAATCTCTTGCATTAACTGCTAAACGTGAGCTAGAAATCTACCAGGTCTCATTTGAAGTGCATGTAAGTGGCGCGCATGTATATATTTAGCCAGGTGTCCAGGAAAAATGATTCTGAGAAACAAGACTCCAAAAAAAGATGCTAAGGAAGACAATGCAAGCAGGCGAACCTTCTTCTGGGCTAAAGAGCTAGGAGAGCATACCGAACTGCTGGACCAATGTATTTGTCCCATAAAAAAAGGACTGGAAATGAATAGAAAGTCACTTGGTTTGTGGAAAGGCAGAGCTGTGAGTGTGGGAGCCAGTGTGTGCGGCCATAATGCTAGAGACCTAAGACTGAAAGTAACTTGTATTATATGAACAATATTCACAGTTACAGACATGATGACCTGCAGCAGAACACTGACCTAGGAGAAGGCACTGCCTCCTTTCCGGAACACTGGCCCCATCATCATCAGTCACCCTTGCTAACTACCAGTGGTTTCTGAGAGCTTAAAATTCTTTTCAAATATGCACTTAAAATGATATTACATTAATCTCATGTAGTTTATTCATTGCTCCCTCTTCAACAACAGCCCCTTTAGAGACACGTAAAGAATGAATCAACTTCAAGAGAAGTCAGATATTAACTAGAAAGAATTATTTTAATTACCTAAAAGTGGTCAGTCTAGTGTTGAAAACACTTCAAATCAATTTAATGCACGAAAATAACTAATAAAATTGTTACAAAGTACTTTATAAATTTAAAGTGTCAAATAAATGGCCTATAATCGGAATAATCATCATTAGATAAAAAAATTTAGCAGCCACAAAGTGACCATGATGAAACTCTATCATTTTATTCCCAACATGGAGGAAAGGAAACACTAGATAGATAAAACTGAAATAATGAGAGCTAAGTGCCATTAAGCTGTCACTCTGAAAGGTCAGTGCTCAGTAAGGGCCAAAATCAAAACCAAAACCAAAATTCAAGCAAGACCCAGGAAACTGACTGGAATTTTACTTTATTTGTATGCAGTATCTTTTGTAAGTAATGAAAAAGATGCATGATTTTGAGCAATAATTACAGGTAATATACTATTCAACAGATAAGACTCAACAGACTGTTTACAAACACTTTTTAGAACAACGAATCAGGTCTGGAAAAATGGTCAATGTATATTTTCTGATCTGTTTCCTAACACTAACTAATTTTCATCACTACCCAATGAAAACACTCTGGGGAATAAGAAAAAGATCGGACATGAGCTGACTTCTATTTCTTTGCTAGAAAATCAAAAATCTGTATTCAAAGAGAACAGGACAAAGAAGAAAATACTGCCCAAAATGTTAAATATACACTAAATGTTGTTCATCACTCTTTTTTAAGACGTGGGAAGCCGTAGGGTCTGGGGAATTAAGCAACAGAGAAAATGTCAAGAGCAATGGAATTGAACCCCAGGCAGATCTTAATAGCTTAGCTAGTTTCTCCACCTATAAAAATCAGGACACTCTTACTGCTGTTTCTGTTAGGTAATTAACAGTCATAAAGCATGCTGAAAGTAGAAACTGCTAAATAAATAATGACTGCAAAAGAATTTTAACCATAACGCACTAAGTAATAAGGATAAAACATGGGCTTTTAACTTGACCATTTTTGTTTTCAAATTAATAATGCAAACAAGAGTCCAATCTTGTTAAGATGGCTCAGCATAGTGTTAGATAGCAAGTTAAATTTAGTCATTACAAAATACAGAAGGAATCTTGCTTCTCCAAGAGCAGTTCACCCAACTCTAGGTGGAGCTGTGAAAATAAAGCCATGTTCTATTCCTGTAAGCTACAGAAATGTTGCCACGTTGCCTGTGTCTACACTTTCGTGAATTCCAGAAAGAGGCCATTCTACTTGAAAACCTACTAAGCAATCAACTTTTTGGGAATTTCCATTTATTTCACATTGATTTTGGAACCCTAAACTTCAGTAACGTTTTAAACAATTTTCTGGGAATTGGCAACACAATGATGTCAGCCACAATGACTGTTTTCCACATTTCCCAATCCCCTGGACTACATATGTATGAGATTGTAGGCTTATTTAAGACCTTTGCAGACATTTTATAGATGCATAGTGAGGAAATAAAAATGGAGATCTGAGCACCAATTCTATGATTTTCCTTCTAAACTCTTTATTCCAATCATGGTATTGAGTAAGTCATAAGATTTAAACTATGAACTAGGAGAGCTAACTTTATTTTACTATTCATATCTATTCATTTTTGCATATATACTTGAAATAACTACTGAGTATTATGAAATCCTAGGAAAAAAAACCAAAGAATTATAAATCACAGAAAGATGGGAAAGTCTTGGAGATCAAATCCATTGTAATTATTTATCACTGAAAACCCACCACCTAGAAAATATGGTTTTCTACTTAAATATAAAGTATGATCAGGATTCTGTTCACAAAATACAGCATTCTGTGAATTTTCTTGCACCTGTAAATACGCTATAGCTATAAAGGATAGTTTCAACATCACTGAACAAACAAGCCTAAATTCTGTTTATTAGACATTTGGGGAGAAAGTCATCCTCCAGGTACTATTTTGAGGAAGAATTAAACAACTACGAAAGAAATCAAAGTAAAGGATATAACCACATTAAAATACAAATGTACAATTTTGTCCTGATAATAACCGAGACCTGGAATCTCAGTTTTAGTGACTCACATTAATTTAATTGTGACATTTGCTTTTCTAATCATAGATGTAAAAAGACCACTGTGTTCCAAACATAATTATCTTGCCAGCATCTCATTGCATGAAATTATTAGTTAAGATGAGAGCCTCTGACTACATTTATGTTTGATTAGTTTCACTGATTTAAGAACACGGAATAATTTAAGATCTGTTTAAATGAAAGAGAAGTAAGGCCCCTTCTGAGAAGGGCTGCTTTCCTCCACACGTTGCCATTTCGACAAACTCTACATTCCCCCCAGCGACTGCTACCCCCAGCGAGTACGTACCTTCCAGGTGAAGCCACATTAGCCGCCCCTTCACACTCACAACGGAGGCCACACACAGTTCTCCTGGATTCCTGGGGTTCACAGCTTCAAGTTTCATGTTCTTTGTGAAACCTCGACTGAATGATGTCTGCAAGAGAAACGAGACCAACACTGAGCCAGTGCTGACGCAGCAGGACAAAGCTGGGCAGATGAAGAAAGAGAAAGAAATGCACGCACACGCATCTTACATCGACAAGACAGGCTCACGTATGTGTTTGTCCTTCCCACTGTTCATGAAGAAAGAACCAGGTGGTCTTCATTTTTGTTTCCCAGAAATTAGAACTATGCCTAGCACATAGTAGGTGCCTAATACTATTTGTTAAACGAGTGAGAGTATGAATTCATTCTCTTTCCAGTTCCATATGCACCCTTCCTTCTTTTTTTTTTTTGTTTTTGAGACAGAGTCTGGCTCTGATGCCCAGACTGGAGTGCAGTGGCGTGATCTCGGCTCACTGCCAGTTCCGCCTCCCGGGTTCACGCCATTCTCCTAACTCAGCCTCCTGAGTAGCTGGGACTACAGGCACCTGCCATCATGCCTGGCTAATTTTTTGTATTTTTAGTAGAGACAGGGTTTCACCATGTTAGCCAGGATGGTCTCGATCTCCTGGCCTTGTGATCCACCTGCCTCAGCCTCCCAAAGTGCTGGGATTACAGGTGTGAGCCACCGTGCCCGGCTGCACCCTTCCTTCTATGGGATCACTGAAGTACACACCATTTCCTCCACCTTCCTATACCCATTGATAACAGTTCAAGTGGGAACACGGAATTTCCATCCGGCATCATTTTCCTTTACAGGAAATGGGAAAAATATCCTTTAGAATTTTTCGTAGTAAAAGGTCGGGTGTGGTGGCTCATGCCTGTAATCCCAGCACTTTAGGAGGCTGAGGCAGGTGGATCACTTGAGGTCAGGAGTTCAAGACCAGCCTGGCTAACATGATGAAACTCCAACTCTACTAAAATACAAAAATTAGCTGAGCATGGTGGCACATGCCCGTAATCCCGGCTACTCGGGAGGCTGAGGCAAGAGACTCACTGGAACCTGGGAGGCAGAGGTTGCAGTGAGCTGAGATCTCGCCACTGCACTCCAGCCTGGGCGACAGAGTGAGACTCTGTCTCAAATGAGGAAAAAAAAAAAAAAGATTTTTTCATAATAGTGTAGTTCTTTTTGATGATGAATTCTTGTGGTTTTATTTGAAACTATCTTTATTTTCCCTTGTTCTTTTTGTTTATTGCTATTATTTTCCTTTGTTCTTTTTGTTTATTGCTAATTTTGTTTATTGCTATTGTTTATTGCTATCTTTTTAAGATCACTTTAAACATTTTTACATAGAGTAAAATTCAGTCTTTTGGGTATACTGTTCTCCGAGGGTAGGGCTGTGAGACCAGTGAATTTCATTATGCAGCTACAACCACAATCAACACACAGAACCATCCCTTCACCCCCAAAATACCCTTGCATTGGGGACCTTTGGTAATTAGTCCCTCCAAAGCACTCAGTTCCTGGCAACCACCAATCTGTTTTCTGTTCTTATAATTTCCTTTATCTTTCTTTATATTCTCATTATGAGAAAATTTTCCTGTATAACTATAGTTCTTAAACTTTAGGATCAGAATCCCCATTTTATTCTGTAAGTCATGTAAATGGACTCAATATCTGTAGCCTTTCGAGTCTGGCTTCTTTCACTTAGTATAATACACTGAGATTCATCCATGCTATTACATGAAATGGAAGTTTGTGCTGCTTTCTTGCTGAGTAGTTTGTACAGATGCACCAGAGCTTATCTATCCACTTACCAGTTAAAGGACATTTGAGTCATTTTCAGTGATTGTGATTAAAGCTGCCATAAACATTAAACATTCTGGTACAACTTTTCATGTAAACGTAAGTATATTAATCTGCTCAGGCTGCTGTGGCAAAATACGACAGACTGTGAAGTTTAAGCAACAAAAATTTATTTTGTCATGGTCCTGGAGGCTGGAAGTCAGAGATCAGGGTGTCAGCAGGGGTGGCTTCTTTGGAGGTCTCTCTCCTTGACTTGTGGATGTTGTCTTCTCCCTGTGTCCTCATGTGGTCAGGCCTCTGTGTGTATTTAGCAGTTTCTACTTTCAGCATGCTTTACGGCTGTTAATTACCTAACACAAACAGCAGTAAGAGTGTCCTGATTTTTACAGGTGGGGAAACTAGCTAAGCCATTAAGATCTGCTGGGGTTCAATCCCCATCTTCTTTTTTTTTTTTTGAGACAGGGTCTCATTCTGTCACCCAGGCTTGAGTATAGTGGCATGATCTCAGCTCACTGCAACCTCTGCCTCCTGGGTTCAAGCGATTCTCCTGCCTCAGCATCCTGAGTAGCTGGGACTATAGGAATGCCCCACCATGCCCAGCTAATTTTTTTATATTTTTAGTAGAGTTGGGGTTTCACCATGTTGGCCAGGCTGATCTCGAACTCCTGACATCTTGGCCTCCCTAAGTGCTGGGATTACAGGTGTGAGCCACTGAGCCTGGCCCCCTCTTTTCTTATAAGGACGCCAGTCACACTGGATGAGGGTCCATCCATAGGACCTCATTTTATCTTAATTACTTCTTTAAAGACCGTATCTCCAAAGACACTCACATGCTGAGGTATTGGGGGTTAGGATTTGAACATATGAATTTGAGGGAGGCACAATTCAACCCATACCATTAAGTTTGCCTGTTTTTAGAGATGGGACCGCTAGACCATATGGTAAATGAATATTTAACCTTCTAAGAAGCTGCCAAAATGTTTGCCAAAGTTGCTACAGCATTTTGCATTCCCATGAGCAGTGTGTGAGAGTTTTAGTTGCTACACATCTTCATCAGCACCTGGTATTGCCAGTTTTTCAAAATCCAGCCATTGTAATAGGTATCTAGTGGTGTCTCACGGTGGTGTTAGCTTGCATTTGCCCTGCTGACTACTGATGCTGAGCATGTTTTTTTGTGATCCATACATCTTCTTTGATGAAATGTCTTTTTTAATTCTTATTCAGCCACCTCTTTTGGGTCTTCAATTCTACATAATAATTGTCCCTCAGATCCTGAGATTCCATTTGTCCTTCATTTCCCTGCCCATCTTCTGTTTTTCAGACAAAATAATTTCTATTTTCAAGGTCATGGACTCTTTCCTCTCTCGTTCCGATTAAGCTAATCCAATAAATTTGTTGATTTCAAATATTGTATTTTTGAGTTCTAGAATTTCTCTTTTTTATAGTTTCTACTTCTTCTCTGGGACTTCCTATCTTTTCATTCATTATGAGAATATTTTCCTTTATATCTACAGTTCTTAAACTTTAGGATCAGAATCCCCTTGAAAATCTTTTAAAAATATAAACTTCTGGGCTTCTCCCCAACGTTTTGATTCAGTTGATTGTAGGTGGAGCCAGAGAATGTGTATTTCTGAAAAGTGCCCAGGTGATACCGAGGCTGCTGGTCTCACGACCACCCTTTAAAGGACCACTGCTTTACATCACACTTAGTTACAATAGGGGCTTGAAAATACTTGTCTGCTCATTCCAACACCTGGGTCATGATGGGTTTAGTCTATGCTTGGTTTAGTCTATGTTGATTATCTTTTCTATTGATAATGAGGCGATTTTCCCATTTCTTCTTTTCTATTGGGAATGAGGCTGATTTTCCCATTTGTCTTGAGCAATGTGGGAATTAAAGAATGGATATTTTAAATGTTATGTTGTGGCGACTCTGGATTACGTTATATTCCTACCAAAAGTGTCAACTTTTCTATTTTATCAAGCTATCACCTTGGTTGGACTGAAACTACAGACTCTGCCTCTTGAGAAGCAGCTCAAATCTCAATTGAGTTCACCTCTCCTAGGCTGCTTGGAGTCTTCCTGGCACCTACATGATTCAGGAATCACCATAAAAACATAGACAGAATTTACACATGGAATCTGGGGTTCCCGATCCTGGCTCTCCACTGTCTGAGTCTCCCCTCACTTTCCAGGATCTGTGGTTGCCCAAATTTTGTAATATGGTTCATCAGGCCAGAGAGACCATGAATTTTATATCACTCTCCCACATGTCGTCAACTGTGGCTGCCCTCAAGCTAAAAGTCTGAAAAAAATGGGACAATTCTCCCATGCTATTCCCTTCGTCCAGTCTCCTGTTCTCCTGCCTCCTTTTGCTCACGTTCCACTACCTTCAAATAGTCGTTTTTGGTCCTGTGTCCAGACTTTAGAGCTGCTCTACAGGCAGAAGGGTCAATTCAGTATGAGCTTACTCAGCCAATACTGAAAACATTATTTTAAAATAAATATAAAATTTTCCCAAATTGCCAACTACTATAAATTATCATCAGACATGTTATAATACTATAGATTTATATACTTATGGATACCAAGATAAACAGGTTCCTGTAAGTAACAGAGACTACTTCTTTTTCTGACTTGTGGAAAGAAATCAAGGTAATTCACATTTACATGTCTTTTTCTAAAACTTAATTTGAAAAATATAACTATATCTTTATGTAACCTGAAAAAAGTGATCCAATGCATGTTAAGAAATCAACTGGCTCCATGCCTTTACATTTCTTTGGAAATAGGAAGCAAAGATCTTCTAGGTGGGCTATTTGTTTCTGCAAGTTACCCAGCCTCACGCACAGCTATTATGTATTGAGCTTCCTTCTGAAAATACAATCCCATCGGCCGCTTGAAAAACCTCTAAGTAAGTTAAAATGCATTTATCCTTCTTAACAAGGGAAAGCTACAACCACATAACCTATTTTCATTTCAATCCACCGCTTGAGGGTAATTTATAAAGGATCAATAGCAAAACTGTTACCTGTGAGTTTATTTACCAAGCATTTTACTGTGTCGATTCCTTTCATAACAGCCTCTGTTAAACATCCCTGGGGAAATGTCTTCCATGCATCCAATTCCACACTAGCTCTCCTCTAATACACAGGAGATGTGTGATTAAAAAATGAACTCGTAATACGCATTCCGTTAAAGAGCACTTATAGCAAGCTAACAAATTCAGCAAAGCATCACCAATGCGATGCATACGTCAACAATCCTATCTATTACATAAACGGAGTGCCAGAAACAAAGACATTCCTCCTGAACATGCCCGCAGATTCATCCAAACAGAGAGCATCTTGGTGGACAAATCCTGAAAGCTCAGAAGCCACCTGGGAATGTGGTGATTTACTCTACCATTCAAAGCCATGTGGACAATTCCTGGCTGCGAATGGGAACAGAGGACTGATAAAAAGAAGCTTTAGTGGGGCAAGGACTATACTGCCATAGAAGAAATCACTCTTTAAATATAGAATGAAAGAGAGAGAGAAGGATTTTCTTCCAAAAGTTAATGATTCGGGGAAGGAATATTTCTCTTTGTACCTTGTCAGGTACAAAACACAATCTCAAAAGGGTTTTAGGGTGCTATAAGATGTTTCCACGGCCCTCAATGAAAGCAGACAAGCCAGCAGATTCTGTGACTGTGACATCAATACGGTGAGAAGTCAAGACAGCACAGGACATCAAAGCTTTCAGAGTTAACCAGCTGCAGTCCTCATGGGGGCATGGCTATGCAGCTGGCCCTGTCACCTAAACACACACCACTCGGTTCTTCAAGATACAGAGAAACCGCTCTTGTGCAAAGGCGACATCATTCGGTGGCAATCCTGCGGAGAGCCCGGACTGGGAACCACAAATTCTATGTGTAAATTCTGCCTAGATTTTTGACTGCTCCCCGGATCATGCAGGTGCCAGGCAGGCTCCAAGCAGCCTAGATAAGGAGAGAACTCGACTGAGATTTGAGCTACTTCTCAAGGTCGTTCAATCATAGAAGGATCCTTGATTTCCAACCTTGCTGCTGATGTGCTTCTGTATTTACAAGTACCAGCTGACCCAGTCATCAACCTACTGAATCCTCCAAACTCTGATTTTGACTTGCACTCACTTTTGAACTTCTGCCTATGCAGCCACCCCTTTCTCGCTTCGTTTTTCATATTGTTATGTCTAGAGTGCAATGACAGTGTGGCAGCAACGAAACCGCAAGCTCCAGGAAGACATGCTCAGCAAACAAGTCTCTGACCAGCGAGTGCTTTGCACTGTTGTTACAGATCTCAAGTAAGAGGAGGCTATAATCTTTTTGTCTTAACATAAATTAACTTTCCTAACTAAAAGCATGTTGAACACAGTAGACTATACATTTAAGCCTAATTCTTAAAACAGAGATAATTGATATCTCTACTCACAGTTCCTAGGATTGAAGAATTATTGATAATTTTGTAAACTACAGTCATGTACTGCATAGTGACGTTTCAGTCAATGATGAAATGCGTATACAATGGTGGTCCCATATGATTATATGGTTATACCACATAACCTAGGCTATGTGGTATAAGCTATACCATCCAGGCCATGGATGAATCTCAGAGCTGTATGTAGTATAGGCTATACCATCTAGGCCTGTGTAGGTACAAGGTACGCTCTATGACATTCACACAACAATGAAGCGGCCTGATGATGCATTTCTCAGAACATAACCCCATCATTAAGCAATGCATGACTGTAGTTTATAAAACGACCTCCAATAACTCTGTAAGTACACGCATGTGCACACACACACACACTCATTGCCACTTTATGTGTCACAAAAATCCTATTATTATGTTCCAATTAGCTCTATATGAAGCAGGTAGTAGCTTAAAGTAAGCAAAGCACAGAAGTCACTAGCATCTAACTGGACATCAAAGAAAGTATTAAAGCCATCAAAATAGGTAAGACAGCATTTTAAGACTAGGCCTCAAGAGCAAAGACTCTCCTATCAGTGGGTTCGTGGATAAGATGCTACACAGCAAGTGTTCCTCTAACAGGGGAACAGATGGCCAGCCGTCCACCAAAACGTGTCCTCTTCACTCCAGAGTTCAGAATCACAGCTGGGCAGCAAGTCCAGGCAGGACCCACTTACTGGCCTCACCTGTGACATGGTGCAGCCAGGCAAAGAGCTCCCACCAGTAGAAAGTAAACAGCAATAACATACACTGCTATCAGGCTGCAGTATTTAGAACTAGTGATACCTTCTCCTCTATTTCTTTCCCTTCTGCTGGCTAGGTTACTCACCATAATGAGAACCACCTACTAATCAGGAAGACCCTGGGCTCTTCCATAAGTGAGACCTGGCCATCACCTTTTAGCATGTTCCAGCCACTGTGCATTTATTAGTCAATTTGTTAGCACAGACCAGCATCACCCTAGCAAATATACAACCTGAAAGCAGAGCTTTCCAAAAACTACAGACATTTTGTAGTTCTCCAGTGCACTGTAATACTCCAACCGTGCTTCATCAATAAAAAGCAAGTTATAAAACTTACGGTAGACAAAATCTATGATTTTTAAAAATTAGGTAAGAGAGAAGCTTCTTACATTTCGGAAGCAGAAGGGAGGGGCTTCCTGCGCCCCATGCTGCTTGTGATAATCTGCCCAGTCGAAGTCCTGGCCAGAGTAACCTGGGAATGACAAAACACAGATAAAACAGCGCACATTAAGCAAAATCCCAGACAGATGAGCAAAATCAGAAGGGGTGAAAGTTTAGGCTCCCAAAAGATAATGTCCTCTGATGCCTAACAGCACTTCAGATTTCATAAGCTCAGATGAAATATTTTGGAAAAATTAAAGTACTAAACACAGGTAAACCATCGTTACTATAACACACTATCTGAAGCCAGGTGAGGAAGGGTGGAACTTACCCATGGCGGCACCAGCCGGTGGGGGGATTTGCCATAAGGGGGAAGAGCTGAGCCAGGATATGGCATAAAATACACTCTCACCACGCACTGTGCAGAGATAGACAATGACATCTCCCTTCATAGGAAGCCTGAGTTCGTGGGAGCTTACTTTTCGGTGTCTTTATGGAAAACATGAGATTTTACTGGGAAATAAAAAATTAAAAAAAAAAAAAACAAAACAGTACCAGGGACGACTTTTTAAAAAGTAACAGAAGGTAGAGAAGAGGGCAACAAAGAGTAGAGGGTTTGGAGAGAAAAGCTCCCAGAGAAATGAGGGAAGGAAGGCAAACGTTGCCCTGGAACTGACCTGCTGAGGCTGAAGGAACATGAGAATTGCAGGAGGCAGGTCTCTGCTGCAAAGCTCTGGGGGCAGTTTGGATATACTGAGAGAGGCATTTGAACAACAACTCTTCATATACACTGAATGTAACCAACTACAGATCCTACTAAAGTGGCTTCTTTCTTTCTTTCTTTCTTTCTTTCTTTCTTTCTTTCTTTCTTTCTTTCTTTCTTTCTTTCCTTTCTCTCTCTCTCTCTCTCTCTCTCTCTCTCTCTCTCTCTCTCTCCCCCTCCCTCTCTCTCTCTCTTTCTTTGTATTCACTTCATTTTTGGGGGGAAGATGCAACTATATAAATGTCCATCATGGCCATGGCAAGACAGGAGACGAGGTGAGAGAAAAGAGGACTGAATTATACCTAAGAAAGGCATAACCCAGGGAGGAAAATGCCTCTTAATGGGAGTCTCATCGGCACAAAATCAAACCAATGGACAGGCAAGGAAAAAGGAGTGAGGTGTCAAAACCTTCCTGTAAACAAGCAAAGGAAAAACACAGTCCAACTGTGATTCACTGAAGTGTGTAAATGCCCCTAGTATCTTCATTGACAGTGCTCTCTGTTGGTGGAAATCTACATGAAGTAAATCTCTAAGAGATTTCTTATGTTTTTTTATCCAAATCCCCCAGTTTCTTTTCCCCATATTGTCACAGATTCTATGAGTGCAAACTCACTTATCATAAGGACTTTTAGTTACTAAATCAGATGCAGAGGGACTATGGAAATTCTTTATTAAAGAAACTCAACATAGGCCGGGCGCGGTGGCTCACGCCTGTAATCCCAGCACTTTGGGAGGCCGAGGCGGGTGGATCACAAGATCAGCAGTTCAAGACCAGCCTGGCCAAGATGGTGAAACCCCTTCTCTACTAAAAACACAAAAATTAGCCAGGTGTGGTGGTGGGTGCTTGTAATCCCAGCTACTCGGGAGGCTGTGGCAGATAATTGCTCAAACCCGTGAGGCAGAGGTTGCAGTGAGGTGGAGGTTGCAGTGAGCCGAGATCTCCCCACTGCACTCCAGCCTGGGTGACAGAGCAAGACTCCATCTCAAAAAAAAAAAAAAAGAAAGAAAGAAACTCAAGACACTGAAGATACTGGTTGCCTCCACTTGTATTCCCAAGCAAAGAATACGAATTATTTTCAATAAGCAATCTCAATATATCCTATTTTTTGTTGTTGTTGTTTTTTTTTTTGTGATGGAGTCTCACTCTGTTACCCAGGCTGAAGTGCAGTGGCATGATCTCGGCTCACTGCAACCTGTGCCTCCTGGGTTCAAGCAATTCTCCTGCCTCAGCCTCCTGAGTAGCTGGGACTACAGGCGCCCGCCACCATGCCTGGCTAATTTTTATTTTTCATAGAGACGAGGTTGCACCATATTGGCCGGGCTGGTCTCGAACTCCTGACCTTATGATCCACCCACCTCAGCATCCCAAAGTGCTGGGATTACAGACATGAGCCACCCCGCCCAGCCCTATATATATATATATATATTTAAGATGGGAGGGTGACAGTTAAGCAAAAAAGCAGCTGTGCTTCTTGGGTCCCAGAGACTGACCCGTGACCTTCCCATATCCTGCTGACCATCAGTGGCAGGTCCCCTTCTTTCTTAAGACAGCTGTTTCATTCTATAAAGACTGAAAATTCTTTCCAGCCACTTTCAAAGAGGTTCTTCGAGTTCTTCCACCTGCCCTTTCTCCTGCCCTTCTCTCTAAAGCTCCCCTCCAGCTAAATGGCTCCTGCATCAAAGATTTCTAGACAGGACCAGAGCCGACTTTCTTCTGAACCTTTCTGAATACAACAGAACACATCTCACAAACAAGGTAATGTAATGTGAGTTTCTCTACAATTAAGAAAACCCTCCACTTTGAGCGTAGTTTCTCTGGAGCTGTCTGGATCAAAGCCTCATATTACTGTAGAAGAATTAGCCTCAAGACACGTCAAACGGAGAAGTTTCTTAACAGGACAAAGGGCCTGGAACTGGAGAAGAGGGTATCTGGGTTTAAGACCCAGCTCTCCCAGTAATGGGAGGGAGCCAGGAAAAAGTAGATTAAATCTTCTGTGCCCCACTTTCCTCATCTACAAATTCACAAAATAAAAAGAAAAGCGTCTGGGTGCGGTGGCTCACACCCATAATCCCAGCACTTTGGGAGGCTGAGGCAGAGGCAGATCATGAGGTCAGGAGTTTGAGAACAGCCTGACCAACATCGTAAAACCTTGTCTCTACTACAAATACAAAAATTAGGCGGGAGTGGTGGTGCATGCCTGTAATCCCAGCTACTCAGGAGGCTGAGGCAGGAGAATTGCTTGAACCCGGAGGCGGAGATTGCTGTGAGCCAACATCACACCACTGCACTCCAGCCTGGGCAACAGAGCAAGACTCTGTCTCTCAAAACACGAAATAAAAATAAATAAAATAAAGTAAATAAAGAGAAAAGCTTTTAGATCCCTCTGCTGTCACATTCTATGATTCAGAACCACCATCACTAATTATTTTACTGTTGCTACTAAGGATTTTTTTCCCCCAACTCTCTGTGGTTAATTCCCTTCTCTGCTCCTAAAAGAAAAGTGTAACGTGGCTGGATGACGAGCAGTTACCTAACAAGGCATTCCTCTAAGAAGACTCACGACTCCATCTGTGAAGACACATCTCTGTAACACAATGATCCCATCTGTCTGGGGTTTTGGAAGACGGACTTTGTTAAAGTCAAGATCTCCTTCTGTTCCACTATCTCTTCCTGGACCTCTGCTATTTCCTGAGTTAATTTCAAGAGTGAAGAAAACTAGATGAGATCCCTGGGGTGGGGAGGAGGGAAATGAGAGAAAACTATATAGAAAAATAGCAAAGCATTTTCTGACACAGCCTGGCATGTGGGTAATCTTTATGGTCCATACATGTTCAGATAAAACTTTCCCACCTGGAAGTCACCGCTATTCCCTACACAAAGACATTAAGCTGGGCTTTCTATAACTAACTTCTAATGAGCTTCAACCCACTCTCTAAAATGTCATGCCTCGTGTTTTCTTGGACGTACATTCAGGCCTTCTATCTATTCACCCAGTCCTCCACACTCTGTCTATGGAGAGCCATTTCTAATCTGATAATTTCTAGATAAAATCAAGTCTTGCTGGCTATGTTGTAAGCAACAGTTAATTATTCCGTCCCTAGAACAATGTTGCTCATTTCCCTGACATTCCAACAGCTTAGACTCCTCTGTCCCCTCCTCCTCCTCCTCTTCGGGACCTTTACTCACTTCATCATTTCAAATTCTTTTCCTTTGGGCTGATAATGAGCTGTCTTTGTAAGGCAGTTTTGTGACAGCTCAGAAAATAACTGCGACATAAAAACAAATTGCTGTGGATGGTATAATAGAGATGACAGGGTCAATTATACTCATTAATCAACAAAGACAGAACAAGACGTACTAAGGCTTAACTGTGGCCAGGAAAACACATTTTAAACCTGGAGGGAGGGAGGAAAACAGCAGAGGGGAGAAGAAAATGAAAGGAAATAAAACCCCTTAGGCAATTAAACTTTGCAGCAAGCTTCCCTGAGAGACTGTTGAACCACAACCATTAGACTTATTTAAGCTTTTATTAGTGTTTATTCTGAATGAAGTTTCAACCCTTACAGGTCCAAAAGGGAAGAGGTTGATGACCCATTTCCCTCGGATACAAACTAATTGACATAAAACAGCTCTATTTGCACACATCATTATTGGCAGTGTAAATGGACAATTCTTTGGAAAAACTATTTGGCATTAAAAAAAAACTCCTACCCTTTGACGCAACCATTTCACTTCTGGGAACTTATCCCATAAAAATGACCCTAAAAACTGAAAAAGGTGTTATACATGAAGACACTTACGGCATTATGACTGGTAACACTGGAGGAAAAAAAATGAAATAACCTTCTGTGCAGTAATAGAAAATGAGATGAGACTTCTCCAAGTCTGTAGAATGCCACACAGGCATGAAACGGCACGTAGTTTTAAAAAATTCATAAAAAATAACTGCTATGGCTTTAGATGAAAAGACTGCTATAAACATATACAGAATTATTAGATTCATATAAAATATGCAAAGATGAAGACCAGAGAAAATGTACAAAAACCTTAATAATAAATATTACAATAATTGTTGGGTGGTGGGACTCTTGGCTACTTTCTTCTTTGACCTCTTTGTATTTTTCCAAGTTTTTAATAATGATCACAAAATTATTTCATTAATAAAAAATTATTTGAAAACACAGAATCTTTGCCCTATTTTAAATGGTAATTAAGGCATTGGTCGATCAATCCAGAGTCCACTCAGCACATGAAATACACCATGACTGCCTCCCCTCAGCCTTCCTCCAGCTTTGCCAGTAGAATCCTGACTTTATCCAGTTCCTGGAGGAAGTGAATCAGGACCATCTTGAGATGCTCATGGTAGCCATATGCCCTTTTCAGGAGGCTTAAGATGGGTAGGAGAAGGGTTTACAGAAAAAAATTCTCTCTCTAACAAAAGAGACATGCAGGAATAAAAACTCCTCTTCTATCCTGGGTGGCTACGAAAAATACATATACAATCTTAATAAAAAATAAAAATAGCAAAGGAATACCATGTTTGCTATCTACCTGGCTGGCAGAATGAAAAACAACACTAAGAATCCACCATTCTAAAGGCTGTTAGGAAGCAGGCGTTTTTATGTGTTTGTGGTGGGAGTGGAACTTTAAAAAACCACTGTAGATGTCAATTTGGTAACGTGTCAAAATCCTCAGGCTCCAGCGACTACTGGGAGTAACAGACACACAGCCTGACACCGATAACACAGTGAGGTAAAAGCAAGGATGGAGGGACACTCAGAGAGTGAGGGAAGAAGGCTCTGAAGATCTCACTACTGCAGAGCAAACAGCTCCATAGAGAGATCTTCCTCACCCCAGAGAATGTTTACTCTATTAAATGTTAGAAGAGCATGTGTAAATAGCAAGCTTATTTAGTTTTCAGTTCCACCTCCCTTGGAAAGGAAAAGTGATACAATCATCTTCAAAGTCAGCAAATACCAGGACCCAGATATGTGCATAAATGTTGATGCAACAGAACCTAAGTTCTAAGAACAGGTTCTCAGTCCTTTCTGAGAAAGTTTCACAACTCACAGAGCAGCACTTCGGGGCATTTTTGCAATGCCTTACTCTTCCAATTGACAGCTGATCTTTCTCCTTTCAAGCCCAAGTTTTTGTTGTTTTTGAGGCAACCAACATTCCTTGAACACCCACTAAAGCCAGGGGCTCTGTGGCAACCCTTCAGGGGATGAATGTCCCATGGCCCTGGCAGGGAGGCAAGATTGCACAGACCTCAGCTGGCAGAACCTGTCCCAGGAGCCAGTCTGTCTATTCCAGAAAACAACTTTCTCAACATTGCCTCCACCTGTTTCACAAAGGAGTTTGTGTACATTGCAGGCTTACAGGCAGGACAGCAAACATCAGCGACTGACTAAAGCATTTGTTCTTGTCGATGCTGTTTGCTAAAAAACTACAACCTCCCTCTTGAAATCTTCTAGCTACCTCCACAGTCTTGGGTGATGTTCAGTTTCAAGCCTTCCTTGATACTGGTCTTTAAAAGTGACACTTTCATTCATTCCCAATTGAATTACTCTGTGTTTTTACGTTCATGGAACAGTGCAGGAAAAAAACAAACAAACAAACAGAAAATAAGGAAGAGAAACAAAGAAGACAATAATATAAGCACTAGCCCTACCGCCTTCCTTATCTTTTAAAACATTATGTTGAGAAGTATTTCATCTTGGTCATGGTATGACACTTAATATACTTCTCTGCTGAGGGAATGTTCTACATGTTATTCTGAATTATAAACACAATGTTACGGGACACAGGTATGTGCCCAGGATGGGGTCTAACATCATATAAATATCAGCTGTCAATGGCAAAAATATCTTACAGATCCTGAAGAATGAAGTGAATTTAAGGATAACATAAAAGGTTCTTCTTAGTTTTCAACAATCAGAAGTATTTTCAGATATTAAAAATGACCTAGAGAGTTTTACTATACCAACTCTTTTCAATCAAAAGTGACCGTTTTGCTCAAGAATGAATCAGAAAGCTAGAAATGAGACTTGCTTCCAAGTCCAGTAGCCGGGCGGGACGATCTGACAGTCTCCCTACAGATATCAGATGAAATATAATTTTGAAAAATTACATAGCCCAAGTCAAAAGAGAAGAAAATCTCCAGACACCAAAAAAAAAGTAAAAAATAAAAAACCAAAACCTGAAAGAGCCCTGAAAGCCAGAGCTGAGCAGTGAGCAGCTCACAGAGGGCAGACAACAGCCTGGTTCAAGGGAGATGAGCAGGAGGACCCGAGGCTACTATCTACAGCTGGCCCCAGGCAGCAGCCCAGTCTATGAAAATAGAACCAGACAAACTAAGCTGACTGGATCAGAGAGGCAGCAGAGATGGGCTACCTACCTGGGGTTCTGAAGAAGAAAAAAGGAGATCATGCACTTCCCCAGGCCAGTGGCACACACGGATGTGGGGTCCAGCTTTCCAATTCCGTGGGACACAGACTGAGAAATTAATATCAAATTCAGCCACTCATTCCTTGAATAATCAGGGACACCCTCATGGACCAGACATTGTTTTTGGTGCTGGGGATGCAGCAGTGAACAAAAGAGATTAAAAAAATACCCTTGACCCTATGAAGTTTATTTCCTAGTGGATGGATAGAGACAGTAACAAATAAATAGAGATGACTTCAATCCAGGGCACATGGAACTGCCACATAAATAACAACCACCACTGAAATTAGTTCATAATCAACAATCACAAACCACATAAGGAAACTAACCAACTTGAGGGAGGGCAGAGAAATGAACTTTAATGCAAAATGCCTTATCAGGAAAAAAGAGTGCTTCCGCCAGTCTAATGATCCTGAATCTGAACACCTTAACACAACTTCAAACACACACACTCACACCACACACTACATACCACACACACACACACGCAACCACACAGCACACACATACAGACACATACCACACAGACGTACCACACATACACATCACATATTAGATACACACACACACCCCACATACACACCCTGCACAAACATATCCATCACAAAAACAAAGAGAAGCTAACAAATCCTCAATCTCAAAATGATATTTTAAAGTACCATTTGGAAATTTACAGAACAACAGATAAAAATACAGTGAGGATATAGAATATCTGAATACTTCAATAAATAAACTTGACCTGACCAACTGATGTGGCAATAAATCTGAAAATACAGCTGAAACAGACAATACTGTAAAATACATGTACATTACCAAAACTATCTCACAAATGGTTACCCTGACTAAACTTATATCCACGAAAGGAAATAAATTCACACTCAATAAAACACCAACAACATCAACAGCTCCAGATAGGTTTATAAGACAGTTTTCCCAAACTGTCAAGTATCACAAAAGTCATATCTTACACAAACTGTTTTTGAGACAGTTTAGAAAGGTAGCTAGATATGACATAAATATACAAAATTAGTGGTACTCTCTTATACCAGCTGACAGCCAATAAGAAATGAAAAGAAATCCCATTCACCACAGCAAGCAGAAGGATAAGGTACCTAGGAAATATTCCAAGAAAAGATTGCAAGCTATAAAAAGATAATATAAGAAAATATCAATTTTTCTAAGTCTATAAATTCAACACAATGCCGAAATCCAATGGGACTCTTTATAGAACCTTACAAACCAATGCTAAAATTAATGTACAAGAATGGCCTGCCAAAAATAACCAAAAATTTTGAACAAAAATAAAGAAAAAGTGACTCAACAATAGATATCAAGACTATATTATTATAAAGTAATAACAATTTGTTCAGGGCTATACAAACAGACTGAAGAGGCAGAATAAAAAAGAACAGGGTTAAGAGTCACACCCACAAAGGGATGGATCCATGACAGTGGTGGCATTATAAATCAAAGAGGAAACAGCAGACCATTCAACAAACGATGCAGAGACAAGTGGGGAAATGAAAAACTTCAATTCAATTCAAGCAAGAAAAATAAGATAGTTTTCCTTCCTCATGCCAATACAAAAATCAATGTCAAGTAGGTTACAGAGCTAAACATGGAAAAGTAAAACTGCAAGTTTTAAAGAAAACACATCAGTAGGAAGGAATTCTAAAGGTATATAAACAATGCATACAGGGAAAGATGGCTGTTTGACTACATTACAATTTACTACTTCAATATGCCATTAAAAAAAACCATTAAAAAGCAAAGAAACAAGCCAGACTAGGTTATCATATGTGTGAAGCACATTGCTGAGAAAGAATTCATGTTAGAATATATAAACTACTTCTACGATCAAAAGAAAATGGGCCGAAGAAGAAAACCACAGATGGCCAGTAAGGGTAGGATGCAGTGCTCAACCATCCTAGTGATCAGGACCACCTCACTGAAACGAGGAGATCCACTTCACTCCCCTCAGAGGGGCCATGCTTAATCCTGGGAATACCGCAAAACAGGGAGGGTGACACAAAATGGGAATGCTCAAACACCATGTTAGAAATGTAAACTGACACAACGTGGAGAGTATTTGGTACTATCTACAGAATTCCAGCAATTCCACATTTAGGAATATCCCCTGAAAGCACCTCTTACACTTGGGGACATTGGATGTACATTTGGGGATCACTTGCAATAGGGAAACCTGGAAATCCCTTCAATGTTCACCAATAGAAAATGGAATTTTCAAATATTACAGTATATTCGTAAAGCAAGCAAAATGAATAAACAATCTACATGCCCCAACATGGAAAAAAATCTGAAAAATGTTAATAAATAAAAAGTTACATAAAGATATGCATAGCGCATTATATATGTATATAGTCAAATAAGGTCTATTTTAATTTGACGGTAATAAAAACAATGATACTGGTAAGGCATAAACAAAGAAGCCTATGCAGTCATGTCATAAAAGCATGTAATCTTTAGGAGGGTGCTCACCTTGCGGAGGATGAGGGGTGAAGGGCTAGGGGTGGGAGAGAATGGGGACAGAGCTTCAATTCATTCAACCTCAACAAATACCTACCAAGTGCCACCCACTATTCCAGCTACTGAGGATGACTAGTGGGTGATTGACAAACACCCCTGCTGCTGTGGATCTTTCATTTTAGTGGGGGAGATGAATGAAAAACAAGACAAACAAGGGACGTATATATGACTTATTTGTGTATTATATGATAAGGTCTGTGATATACTGCAGGGAAGGAGATGCAAATGTTGGGAGTGGTGGTTTGCTACTGAGATTGAACAGGGAAGCCCAGAAAGACGACTTCAAGCAGTTAGCACTTGAGTCAAGACTGAGTCAGGTGACAGGTGTCTGCACAGAGGGAACAGCAGGTGCCACGTCAGGGAGATGAGAGTGACTGGGACAGACTGAGTGGGGAGTCGGGAGATGACGCTGGACAGGGCAGTGGAAGTCAGCACGGCTGGGTGCTGTAGGCTGTTGCCACAGTCTTGACTTGGACACAGGGTGGGGTGGAAGGCACTGGACAGTCTGAGCAGAGAGACCCATGGTTTATGTTCTAACACGATCGATCTGACTGCAGTGTTGAGAGACCCCTGAGTTAAACAAGGGGCTGCTGCAGGAACCAGGTGAGACTCACTAGCGGCCTGAAACAGGTGGCTGTGAGGAGAAGTGGTGAGACTCTGAAAATGTGGACAGGACTCCCTGATGGATGAGGTATGGGGCATGAGAAACAGAGGACTTAAGGATGACTTGGTCTTCATTATATCTATAATGCTTTCGTGTTTCATATTTCATTGTTGAAAAACACGAATCAAACAAGGCAGAATGTTAGCATCTGTTGAAGTAAGGTGGTAGGGCCATGAGCGTCTATGTTATTTTCTGCCCCCTTTGGTATGTCTGAAACGTGAGTGACAAAATGGATTAAGCTCATCAGTCAGTGTCTGAGGTTTTTCTTTAGGAAAAGAGAATACGACTTACGGTTCCCTGCTTTGTGTCTCAATAATAATTAAAATACACCTTTACTTCCTAAATTGTGTTAACAGTTTATGTGTCTATTAAATGGTCAGCCAAACAGAGACAAATCAAAGTGCTAACGTAAGCCAATTACTTCAGCCTTTGCTCACACCTTTTACAGCAGAAATTTAAAGGCTGAACATTTTCTACAAAAGTTCCTGGGTGGAACTTTTCCTCCACTAATTATACAACTAATCTTTGATGTGACACAAGAAAGGTTAATGAAATAATTTTAAAATAGAAAGTCATGGTTGATAACCTATACACATTTTTGCTTAGGTGATCTACTTATTTGTTGATCACTTTTCATAGTGCCTGTGAAACTGACTTGCTGTTTATTGGGTTTAAACTAATTGAGTAAAATCTCCAACATTCTAACTTTTGCTTACCAGGAAAATCCTTACTACACAGAAAGCCACACTGAAAAACTCGTATCCACTCTAGCTCACTTGTCTCTAAGGTGTGAGGACAAATTTTTTTTTTAAGTAGGAACAGAGTCAAAACAACGCAATAAAATATCTGTGTTATTTGCATATATTTCTCCTACACCACCGGAAGTCTTTCATTTCAACAGCTGCTTCCCAACCTCTTTTTGAAGTCAAGCAACACATTGTAATTGTAGGCAGCATCCATGTTCTTAACAGAAATTTAGACAACCCAATACATTCATGGGAAACATACACATGTGGAAACATCTGAAATCACTTGGCAATATGTACAATAAATCCCACATATTCTACGTGTCAACCTAAGAATTTAATTTAGACACAATAACCTTTTACTTTTAAAAAAGCTTCTACTTGCATACCTTCATAAAGTGAAGAATGGTCTTTGAAACATCTCTACAATATGACTCTTAATCCTGGTGTTGAGATGCAAGATGTGAAACCAACCACCTCAAAAGGAAACCGTAAAACACCACTACCACAATCACCACCACCACCTCCTCCTCTAAATGCTCATTCAGTTTAATTACAAAAATAAATATACTGCACTCTCACAAGAGAGTAAGGGAGTCAATGAATGAAGCCATGACTGTCTTTTAACCACAGACCCTTGTAAAATTATTCCCTAAAATTGTAATTCTCTGACTGCTTTGATATATTGACCATCTGAATTGTGTAAAGCCATGGTCCACTGACATGAATTAGGTTGCTTTAGGCCCCCCAAACTCTCTAGAATTACTAAGAAGGAGGAACATTACAAAACATCAGCAAGACAGAACAGCAGTGAAGTGTGGATACGGTTGTGTAGAAAAAGCGTTAGATTTGGTATCTTAAGTCTGGGGTTTTTAACCCGACACCCCTGCACCCCTGCACCCCTGCACCAGGATTTGCAAAGTCATTTAACACAACTGAGCCTCAATTTCTCTAGATATAAAATAAGTAAGGTTGATGAAATCATCTTTAGGATCCCTTTCAGTTATAAAAACCCTCCATTTTTAATAATATGTGTTACCTTTTAATAGGTAACACATTTATTTAGATAGAAAAGAAAAAAAGATAAAAATGGTATTGTTACACGTCATGTCTACCTTCATCCCTTATGCCACATTCCCCACCTCTGTCCCTCATACCCCAAAAACACTAATAATTATTCTCATTATTTTCTTATGTAACTACAAAAATATAAGCAAACACTCATAGGTACTGTTTTGCCTCTTCTCTAACATAGGAAGTGTCATACGATACCTACTGTACCACTCACAGTGTATCTTGGACAGCCTTCCACATCAGTTCATAGAGACGTCCCTCATTCTTTTCAACAATGGCACAGATCTCATTAGAAGGATCTCCAAAGTCTATTTAACCAATATCCTACTGATAAGTACTTGAATTTTTCCACTCTTTTGCTATTGTAAATAATGCTGCAAAAAAAACAAACTTTTATGCAGATGATCTCTACATTATAACTTAAGGGGAAATTTCCAGAAGTGGAATTACTGAGTCAGTGGGAAAATAAAAGTTTAGCAAAATCCACCAAACTGCCTTCCACACAGCTTGCACCTTCCTGCACTCTCAACGGCAATGTCTAAGAATCTTTATTCCTCCACCGTCTCACCAAGCTGAGGTTCTCCTGTTCCTTCTCCTTGGGATTTCTGTCTCATCTGATAAGCAGACACCACTTCAATAGGATTTCTCTTCATCTGTGTTTCTCTTATTATGATAAGTTTGCCCAAGAGTCACTGAGCTTCTTGTATTGTGTGCTCTTCTGAGGTTATTCTTTGTCCACACTCCTGTAAGTTGCTGGTCTTTTTCTTACTGGTTTACGAGTAAAAATTCTACTATTTCAAGAAAACATTCCTGAACTAATGATATTTACCACATTCTTGAATGATATGGTTTGGCTGTGTCCTCACCCAAATCTCATCTTGAATTGTAACTCCCACAATTCCCACATGTCACGGGAGGAACCTGGTGGGAGGTGATTGAATCACGGGGGCAGGTCTTTCCTGGCTGTTCTCCTAACAGTGAATAAGTCTCACGAGATCTGATGGTTTTAAAAACAGGAGTTTCCCTGCACAAGCCCTCTCTTTGCATGCTGCCATCCATGTAAGACGTGACCTGCTCCTCATTGCCTTCCACCATGATTAGGAGGTTAACCCAGCCGTGTGGAACTGTAAGTCCATTAAACCCCTTCTCCTATATAAATTACCCAGTCTCAGGTATGTCTTTATGAGCAGCATGAGAACAGACTAGTACACTGAACTAATGATATTTACCACTTCTTGAATGCTTTAATGGTTTAAAAAGAGTTATAGTTTCTTATTGGAAGGTACTAGCCACCATTACTCAATATTCTACTTGATGTGTAGTATGTATTTGCATATAATATCCATGAAGAAATATTCTTTTGAGTTTCTGAAAAAGAAAATTTCACTTTCAACAAGAGAAAGGAATGGTTTGGAAGAATGCATGAAGAGAATTTTACCTTACCAAATATCACAAATATTTGGATAAAAGAGAAGAAATGATCATAACTAAATATTATGTATAAAAAGCTTAAAATATAAAAATATTTAATTTTATATCTTTGTACAGTCCTTTCATTGAATGTTTAACAGTTCAGTTGCATTAATGTAAAACAATTTTCTTAATATCATAAAACTCAAGTATCCAAATAGGCACATCCATTTTCCTGGTGAACTTCTAAGCTATGTCAATGATCTTTTTATGTAATTCATAGAAAATGTATCTTAAAATTCTGAAAACATTGACAACTATGAAACCTCTGCCATAATGGAGTGATCAAGCAGCCAAAATGCTGATATAAATACTTTTCCTTTTTTTCACTCAATGAGGAAACAGCCAACCATTTTTTCAAAATTCTTAAATATAATAGATTCTAATACTATTGAGGAATAAGCAAAGTCTAACCAAGTAGCATTTACATATCTAGAAAAAGTTTTCCTTCAATGACACAGGACCCATTCCCCACACATACTTCCATGAGAAAAGTCCAAAGGAAGCAAAGGAAGATGGCCCACAGGGTGTTCAAACTCTACAGGACCTATGGCTAATTCCACAGCAGCGAAGGACTTCCCACCTACTACCAATAGGTCGTTGATAATATGACTCCCCCAAGGCCATATTAAAGGGATGAGAATCCTTCGACTCATTTTAACTCTGCTGGCACCTGGGGACTCCCACAGGTGTCTCCACTGGACAGTCTTGAAAACTGAAGCAGTGATGTGGCTCAGGGTGCAAAGCCAGTGTGTACCAACAGAGAAACAAACACCAAGGCCTCCTGGAGTCCTCACCGCTACCAGGGGACACAGTCCCAGGACCCAAGCTCTGCCTGGAGACCTACGATCCAAATGACCCTGCGCAAGTTATATAAACTCTCTGTGACTTAGATTCTTCATAGTTCACTTTGAGGAGTGAATGAATTAGGCATTAAAAACAGTGACTGGTAAACTGTGTTCTGTGTAAGTTTACCATATACCATTAGGCGGAACTCCATGACTGCACAACTTTAACCCAAAGAGTTGAAAGCTGAAATGGAAATATTCAAAAGCATCTCCTCCGTAAGGACAAATATGGGGAAAAATGAAGATAAAAGCCCAGCAGAGTACAGTCATAGTAAAGGTAAGCAGGCAGGCACCATTAAATGATGTAAACAGACTGGCGAGGCCACCAGGCAAGATGGGACTCAACCTGTGGGAACTGCATGATTCTCCCAATAGGGTTAATGTCCCAAGCAATCCAATCCCTAGAGATCTGGAAAGGTTAGTACAAAACCCCTTATTATTTAAGTTTGTCTGTTAAAATCCTCCCCAATAAGTTTACTTTTCTCATCTTTTTCCAATTTTCTTCTTCTTACTATACCTTTATTATTCTTCTCTTAGTCTCACCTCTCATCTTACTGCTTTCTTCCTGAATAAACCTGACCTATAGAGGACAACAAACCACACTGGTAAACTCTAAGACTGGCATTCACTAACAATGTGGTTCTTGAATCCCAATTTAAAATTATTTTAATGCATCCTGGCTCCCAGTGTAATTATTTTAAAGTATTATAGCATCTAATTGTCGGATATCTGAAAGCAAATTGACTCTGGAGAAAGCTTAGCTCGCTGGAAATAAACACTCTAAAGAAATGCTTCACCAACATTGTGTTACATTTGTAAAGCCACTTCTCAGACACTTTCAAGTCTTTGAGCTCAATCACTTAGCAATGCTGCACCCTCTAAGTCTACACAATAGCAGCACATCTGCCAATAATGCGGTAACGGATGGGGAAACTCCTGTGGACAGAAGTGAGAAGCCCAAGGCCACTCGCCTCGCCAGGGGATGGAGCTGTAACTGACACCTATGTCAAGCTGATGAAGAACGCCCTATTTCTACTACATCTAAACCCTTTACACAACCAGCCTCCCCAGATTAATGCAGGTGTTACTTCAATGACAGTAAGACACCCTCCTGAATCTCCAGACCCTGCATACCTTCACAGAATACAAACCTTTGGGAGGAGTGAGGCTGACTCCATTTTTAAGGCACCACTGTACTGGCAAAATCCCCAAAGAATCTGCATGGCACAGCATTGACAGTTTACTTGGTTCAGGTCTTAGGTCATCAATAGTCACTTGAAAAAAGTGATTGTTAAAAACCTAAAAGAAAAAAAATGGGGGAGCCAAAGGTTAATTCTTTAGAGTTACATATAATGCTAGTATAAAATAGTGGCAGAGCTTCCAAAGGCAATTAATATAGTTCATCAAAATGATTTGAATACAAACTGGCATTTTCAATGTCCATTACTAAATTAATTCAGCTGATAAAAAGTTAGAATTGACTGCTGTGGTCCTATTAATGAAAAGATAAATAACTAGGTTATCTGGAAGAGTGAGAATGAACAAAATCAAAGACTTAGAGAAGTCAACCAATGGCTATAGCTTGAAGAAAAATGAATGGAGGAAGTCAGACAGACAAACCCCAGCTTAGATGACAGCCAAGACAGGAACTGAAAAGTGAAACCGTTTCTCAGTGTCCACAGCCAGCACCAAACTCTTTACACCAGATCACTCAAGAATCTCCAAGATCTGGCTTGGAGCTTTCTAGCCTCCTCCTGCACCTTTTCCCTCAGAACACCCCACCCTCCAGCCCGAGAGGAAATCGTTCACACTAAGCCTCATGGACTACAACAACCCCCAATGCCATGTTTAAGCTATCAAAACACAGTGCGTTTTCAAGGTACATCTCATATTTCAATGCTTCTGATCTGGCTGGAATAAACCGCCCTCACTCTGCGCTCCTAAAATTTCAGACTTCAACTTCTGTATTGAAAACTCTCATTCCTTCCTAGACCGATTACACATCAGTCTTCCAATGCCATAGAGCATAAGTTATTAGAGGAGAGTGATGTCTTTTTGTTAACACAAGTATTTCCAAATGCATAGAAAGTGCTTTGTACATAGGAACGGGATAAATGTCCACTGAATATAAGAAGAAACATCAATGAAGAAATAAGAACAAGACATGCCGATAAACAAAGCAGAGGGTAAAAATCAGATGGACCATCACTGAAAAGCAAGATGGATTTAAGTAACTTAGTATCTAAAACAGGCCAGAAAAAAAGATCCCTTTCCCAATTCAACAGACATAACCCAGTCTTTCTTAGGAAACCTTGAGAGTTTTACAAAGCTATGATTCCTGGCCCCTTCATTTTTTTTCTGGAAGCAATTTAGTTCAAAGTGAAGCAGGAAAGGAAATTCACTTCTGTTCTTGCCTGTGCTAATTTTGGTAAATAGTTTACTGAAGGTTTGCCTGTGAAAGTCAACTTCAAGCAACAAAGGATCAGATGGGGCCTTCCCAGTGAGGTCATGTCCGAGAGCCCTGTTGAGAATCTCATCCTCCCACCACCTGAAAGGATTATGAAAATCCTTTGACTTCTATCATTTTCACTCTGCTGGGCACCTGGACTCCACTGGACAGTCCTGAAAACTGATGCACGGCGATCTGGCTCAGGGTGCAAAGCCAAGTGCCTACCAACAGGGAAACTAACACCAAGGCCTCCTGGGGTCCTCACTGCTACCGGGGGGCACAGTCCCAGGACCCCAACATCCCTGCCTTGGTGTATTTTTCTCCTTAGCATTTAATATGTAACATACTAGATTTATTTACTTATTGATTCTGTTTATAGTCTGTCTCCCTCCATTAAAATAAAAGCTCCACAATGGGAACATTGTCCAGAATTGAGCCTATGAATGCTCAATAAATATCTGTTAAATTACTGTTATTTAGTCTATCTTGCATATATACACATACACACACATACGTATATAAAGAGCATGTGATTTTGGTGGAGCTGCGGTACCCTGTAAAGAAGGAATTTCCACAACCGTTAAAATGCATGTTCACGTGGGAACACTCCAAAGGAAAAGCTTAGTAAGTTTCATCAAATCCATCAGGGCTCATGTTCCTAAATGGTCTGAAGCACTGTTTTGTGCTCTATCCAGTCCATAACCCACAGGACTCAGAACTAATGCCCAGAGCAGTTAACTGACTTGCCCAAGACTGCACAGCTAAGAGATGGCAGAAACAGAAACAGAACCCAAGGCTTCTAATGCCAGTATCCTTTCCTCTAATCAATACAACACACTTCGCTTACAAAGATGACATCATCACCATCTGCCAGTATCTCAACACCAAAAACACACCCTGGCTGGACTGCTGGAGGTTCATCATTTAATACTGGATCCACTACACGTCTGTCTGCATCCTTGTCTGTTTGTTGTAACATCGTTTACATATTTCTTCAACAGTTATGCCACGAAGAAAAGGCCCAAGGTGGAAAAAAAATGAAATTTTCATTGTGATGAGTAATGACAGCACAGTGTGTTATATTTTCAAACATAATATTCCAAAGTACTTTCCTCATATTTAAAGAAATACATTTAATTATTATAAATATCTTCTACGCTAAGAGTATTCTGATACCTCATTACATGAAGATGAGTCTTGAACCTGGAGAGGTGCCTACCTAGGTTCTAAAAGACAGATGCACATACCCCAATCCATGTGTTATACAAAACATGGTCAATAAGAGGAGGGGTGTATACGAAACGGCATGACTTATTTTATCTTTGCTACAAAGGGTAAGAAAAAGCAAAATAAAAAGGAAAACACAGTTTAGAAATCAGTAAAAATACTTTCTCCCTCCCCTCAATAAGATCTATTTAGAGAAAATTATTTACTGTGAAAAACCAACTATCACTGGAAGTCTATTCAGCTAGAAAAAGAGATTTGGGCTGAAATTAATTTTGATTAGTAGACACATTCTAACATGACATATTACAACTATTTAAAGGCATAAGAATTATTTAAAGGCATAAGAATGTGAGAGAGGCCGGGTGCAGTGGCTCACGCCTATAATCCCAGCACTTTGGGAGGCTGAGGCGGGCAGATCACAAGGTCAGGAGTTCGAGACCAGCCTGGTCAAGACGGTGAAACCCCATCTCCACTAAAAACACAAAATTTAGCCAGGCGTGGTGGCAGGCGCCTATAATCCCAGCTACTCGGGAGGCTGAGGCAGGAGAATAGCTTGAACTCGGGAGGCAGAGGTTGTAGTGAGCCGAGATCATGTCACTGCACTCTAGCCTGGGTGACGGAGCAAGACTCCATCTCAAAAAAAAAAAAAAAAAAAAAAGAATGGTGAGAGACGCTACCGCTGACAGGCTATGCACATCAAGTCTGTTGAGTTTAATTGATAAATACCAGGTGAAGCGACTCTGTAGCGTGATACATCTGCAGACAGATGGGCAGCCGGCATGACTGCAGCACCCACTAACAGAACAAAGGGGAATTCTGGCTGGGATTCAACAGGGCACCACTGGTCCATTTTGGAAAAATATCCGACAACTGACAGGATACACAGTAAAGAACTCCAAAGGCCATTTCAAATAAAAGGTTTTTAACGGATGCTAATCAGGAATACATGACTTTCAACCTCCAGATTATAAAGCAAAAGCCAATATATTTTTCTTTAAATAACCTTAAATATTTAAAGTTTCTTTTTGTTTTTGTTGTTGTTTGTTTGTTTTGAGATGGAGTCTCACTTTGTTGCCCAGGCTGGAGTGCAGTGGCAAGATCTCAGCTCACTACAACCTCTGCTTCCCAGGTTCAAGCGATTCTCCTGCCTCAGCCTCCCAAGAAGCTGGGATTACAAGCATGCACCACCATACCTGGCTAATTTTTGTATTTTTAGTAGAGACGGGGTTTCACCCTGTTGGCCAGGCTGGTCTCAAACTCCTGACCTCAGGTGATCATCCCACCTCAGCCTCCCAAAGTGCCAGGATTACAGGCATGAGTCACTGTGCCCAGCTCCGAAAGTTATCCTTGAAATAAGCTACTTTAATGGTTATAAAAATAATTTATGTTCACTAAAGAAAAAACATTTAGAAAGCATTTCATTTTTATAACCAATTTCCATATTCTGTAATACATTATCACACTACTAAATTCCTCAAGTGTTACCAAATCATAAATTTTTAAAAACTCATGACTCAAGTAACAAACACTAATCACTGCATGAAAAGTGATTTTCCTTAAAGAAAATCCCGTATCTTTAAGAAAAAGAAATTAAAACAGATTTAAATCTTTAATTAAATTCTCCTAGTGAAGTACACAAAAGACCATTCACCAAAACACACATCGGCCAAGAATGTTAAGTTTCCCGCACCATTTGTAAGAGAATACTTAAGGTAGAAACAAGCAATTTTGATTTTACCAGAGGTTATGTCATTAAAACTTCTTTAATGGGGAATGGATATTATACTGGTTTTTAAAATTTTTTTATTGTTTGTAGAGACAGGGTCTCCCTATGTTACCCAGGCTGGTTTTGAACTCCTGGGCTCAAGGGATCCTTCCACCTTGGCCTCCCAAAGTGCTGGGATTATAGATATGAGCCACCATGACCTGCTGGGATATTACAATCTTCAAGGACTAACAGATCATTATAAAAATGTCTTTATGTTAAAAGGTAATTTTATTGTGAATCTGTAGATCTTAGAAGCATGAGTTTTTCTTTAGTCAACAAGGGCAGATGAGAAAAAACACAGAAATGCTGAGAAAAGGGAGATGAGAATTTGCTTTGCACCATTTTCATGTATTTTCCAAGTATAAACAGATCATATTTACTACTACCCATGCAGGAAGAACAAATTACTCTTGTAATGATTACAACCTGCAACTCGTCAGTGGACAACTATCAGAAGACAAGGAAAATTCACCCTATCCATGATAAGAGGGGGCATCTGATTAGAGTCACTCTGTGCCACCAGTAATAAAAACAGCTTAAAGCAGCGCTGGACTGGAAGGGCGGCAATCTTCCTTAGCTTCGCCTGGCATTGCTGATAGCCTTGCACGAACATATGTCATCTGGTCGTCTTTGAGTTGAAAGGCTTAATTTGATCCACTCTAGGGGCTGGGTCGAAGAGCGAGGGAGGAAAACCCACCTTAGTCACCGACGCAGGAGAGATGTAAAAGGGCTCGCACATATTCACTGTCTCAAGCTTCATCCCAACTGTGAAGAAATGGCTTCGCAAATCTGCGTGATCCTGCAGGGAGAAAGATGAAAATATTGAAAGCCACGGTATTGTAAATGACCTCAGCCACTGTCCGGATGCGCTCCTGGAGCATTTTATTGGGCAACCAAAATCTTATGGAGACAATTAACCTTCCCTGTTTCGAATTTCTAATTATTGCCAGATACCACGGATTTAATTATTTTCTGCAGGCTAAATTGCTTTTCCAAGGGAGAGGCAACAAGGCTTCCTGGCCATGCTTAAATTTACACTAAGCAAAAGTTCACATGACACTGCTTTGCTCGTCCTTGGTGCTATTAACTGAAGCACAGCAGAGTAAGGGAGGCAATCTGTCATCCTAACACAGCAGGGTGTCTTCAGAAAACACCAGGTCTCTTGCTACTGGAGTCACATCTCAGGGCTTCAGTCAGCACCTTGTACCCAAGGTCTGCCACCACCTCCCGTGTCTAAGAGCACACAGCTTACCAGTTACTAGAAGTAAGCTGGCACACAGCTCACCGGCACGAGTAAGGGTAGGGGTACTCAAGATCCCATGATCTTAGAGATGCCTGCAGGTAAGAATCCAAACCTGCCCCACAGACGATTAGAACCTGTCTCCTACTCAATAAAGGTGAGCAACACCCCATTCCTAATAGGGGTCTGGCAGTTTTATAACCTGCTTACAGCAACCTTATGTGAGAGAGATGGGGCTTTCCCGCCTCCTAAGATAACAAATTTCAATATCCACTTCAGCTACACAGCAATAGAGGAGGTTGGCTGGACTCTGGATACCAGAATTTATCTTGCGGAGATGGAGGTCACCTCATAACTCACAGTCTGGATAAACAGCAGTGGATAAATGAATGTATTTGCAGTCTGTCCCTGAGGAAATAATACCTGCAAATAAATCCTGCGATTTCCAAATACATCAATTGGGTGTGAAGTACAAAAATATCTGGGGACCTGTTACTTTCTTTTACCTGCAAATCTAAAGTGGGTTTTTAATTACTCCAACGACGCCACTCTATATCCAACTCTGAGGACTGCACAGAGCCCAGTCGGGCAGTGCCTGTTTCCCCAAAGCCCCCAAAAGCTGGTCAGTACCGTCAGCGTCCAAGAGGAGATCAGACTAGAAGAACTGCTTATAAAACTCTCCACCAGTGCACCGAGTTGCCAAGGTTAACAGAATGTAAACGCCTATAGAACTGCATGGACCCTTTCATTTTTCATGTCCCCAGGGCAGTCGGCAAAGGTCTCTGTTTTGGGGGATGCATGATGAATGCTGGGGCCATGTCCAAAGAGGACATTAATCAGAACAAGACAGGATGCGGTCAAATACGACAAAACCCAATCAAAGGAACTGGCCACTCTAAATATTTACAAATTCCTTAAGAACTTACAATCCACACTTTATAAAAATTATATGCAGAAGGAAAAGTACAAGGAAATTAGGTGCAGGTGATGATGTGCATTGTTTATGTTGCAAACAAAGCCTTTAATTTATTTATTTTTAGGTTTTATTTTAGATACAGGGGTACATACACAGGTTTGTTACATGGGCATACTATACTCAGGTAGTGAACATAGTACCCAATAGGTAACTTTTCGACCCATGACTCATTTCCCCCCTCCCCTCTAGTAGTCTCCAGTGTCTACTGGTCCCATGTTTACATCCGTGTGTGCTCAAGGTCTAGCTCGCACTTCTAAGCGAGAACATGAGGTATTTGGCTTTCTGATCCTGCATTAGTTTGCTAACAATAGCGGCCTTCAGCTCCATCCATGTTGCTGCAAAGAACATACTTGCATTCTTTTTATGGCTATGCAATATTCCATGGTATATATGTACCACATTTTCTTTATCCAGTCGATCACTGATGGGCACTTAGGTTGATTCCATGCCTTTGCTATTGTGAATAATGCTGCAATGAATGTGTGAGTGCTTGTGTCTTTTTGATAGAATGATGTGTTTCCCTTTGGGTATACAGCCACCAGTGAGATTGCTGGGTTGAATGGTAGCTGTTTTAAGTCAAGAAATCTCAAAACTGCTTTCACAGTGAGTGAACTAATTTACATTCCCACCAGCAGTGTGTAAGTGTTCCCTGTTCTCCACAGCCTCACCAGCATCTGTTATTTGTTTGACTTTTTAATAACAGCCATTCTTACTGGTGTGAGACGGTATCTCCTTGTGGTTTTGATTTCAAAACATTTATTTTTAAAGGTGGCTGGGGGAAAGCAAATCAGGAAACAGAAGGAATCAAAGGCTACTGTACAGAGAGCGAATGTGGATTAACACACACCAGCCATCATGTCCAGGCAGGGCCAGAAGCCACAGGTGAGGCGCCATCACAACTAAACCAACATTGACTTGCTAGCATCCGAATTCAAAGATTCAAAGTTAATTTGAATGTTTCTAGCACAAAGAAAAGACAAATATTTAAGGTGATATGTATCTCAATTATACTGATTTGATCTTTACAAATTATATGAATGTATTAATCACATGTACCCCAAAGTATGTACATCTATTATGTACCAATAAAAAAAATTAAACATTAAAAAAAAAAAAGATTAAAAGTGGGCTGGACGCAGTGGCTCCTGCCTGTAATCCCAGCACTTTGGGAGGCTGAGGCAGGCAGATCACGAGGTCAGGAGTTCGAGACCAGCCTGGCCAATAAGGTGAAACCCTGTCTCTACTAAAAATACAGAAAATAGCTGAATGTGGTGGCAGAAGCCTGTAATCCCAGCTACCCGGGAGGCAGAGGCAGGACAATCATTTGAGCCTGGGAGGCAGAGGTTGCAATGAGCCGAGATCACACCATTGCACTCCAGCCTGGGTGACAGGGTGAGACTCCATCTCAAAAAGTGAACGTTCCTGTCAGACAACCATGTCCCCAGTACCCATCAGCGGGAAATGAGTCCCGATCACAGCTTTTGCAGGTAAATATCCTTCCCCATTTAAGTATAAACCCTTTCATCTTTGGAAAAGGGGAATTATTATAGAATTATGAAATAATAAAGCGTAGCCTGAATGTACTCAGCAAGTCTAAGCAGTCATTATTATGCTGTTTGACAACTCAGAGGTGCCCTCAGTCACTCCCGGCACATTCATAACTATAAGTGATGGCTAACAGATGAATGTCAGTGTTTCTCAGGAGCCTCCTTCTCTGTGCAGGACCCCTTTCCTCCTGCAGCCTGCCCCTCACCAGCCACAGGCACAGGGTGAGGCATTCCTGAGGTCTGGTGCACGGGGACAAGCATGGGTCTTCTCCCTGGCTGCCTCTATCACCCCGGCTTTCCTGAGAGTCTCTGCTCTAGAGGCATCCTGACAGCCACGGGGCTTCTGGTCTACCCGCCCTCTTCATTCCCTCCATTCCAGATTCTGTGCTTCTCTCTGTTCCACAAAACGCTTGCTCCAACCTTTGCTCTCTGAGTAGAGTCAGCTTTCTAAGCAGGGTTTACCCATAACCCTAAGCCCTTTCTACATCGCAGGCCCTCAACCTGACCTTGACCGCTGACTTGGAGTCTTTAGCCAAATCCACACCCATCTTTTATCTCATACTCCAAGTCCTCTGGGAAGCTCTGTCAATCATAGCTCCCCGTGCTGTGTGGAAACTCTGTGTCCCCAGAAGCCCTGCCCTCTCTGAGGACTTCCTGTGTTCACAGTCATCTAGCAGACACCAGGCAGTGGCTGCCGCTGCTTGGAAATACAGCAGACAGCAATGTGTCCCTGAGATAACCCTATCCACTCAGGGCTGCGGACTGTATTGGAAATGCTTATGGGTAATGACTTCAGCGTCCTCTGCATCTAATTACATCTCTAGGTTAAGAGGGGATCACTTCCACTTCCTGCAGACAACACACAATCTCTTCCTTTTCTCCCAGAGTGTCCTGTGCTCGAACGTCCATCATTAAACTTCCCATCTTTGCTCATCTATAACAATGAACATAAAACATCAAAACCAAGCATGGTGGATGCGGGATGAAAATAAAAATAGCATGACATTAAAATATTCTTAAACAGTTTAAGAATAATGCTCAGTGAGCATTATTCCAAAAATTTTAGAAACTAGTTTCCCCTCTGTCAGTCTTGGCTCAGATCTCCTACAACTTAAATTATTTCTCCCAGGTTTCAGCTGTGTGGTAAATGTATATTGGTCTTTGTCCCTGGTATAGGACTCCTAAATCCTGTGGGATTTCCCAGGTGATAGGAGCTCTTTTGTTCTAATGGGTCCATTCTTGATGGGACCCTAAACAGCTTCAGGGTGGGGGCTCGTGTCCAGAAAGCCCAAGGCATAATTAGAGAGGGTTGTAAGTTCTTTTCCACCCCACACCCACTAGGGAGGGGAGAAGAGCTGGATATGGAGCTCATTACCAATGGCCAAAGATTTAATCAATCGTGCCTACATAATGAAACTCCCATGAACACCCTAAATGACAGAGTTGGGGTTTTTCAAGTTGATGAACACTTCCATGTGCCAGGAGGTGGGGGCACCCCAACTCCACAGGGCCAGAAGCCCCTGTGCCTGGGACCCCCTTCCAGCCCTCACCCCGGGCACCTCTTCCATTTGGCTGTTCATTTGCATCCTGTATGGTACCCTTTACAATAAACAGGTAATAGTAAGGAAACTGCTCTGTGAGGCCTTCTGGAAAACTATCAAATCCAAGGAGGGGGTTTCAGGAACCCTAATTTATAGCCATCAAGTACAGGAAGCCCAGGACTTGTAACTGGCATCAAAGTGGAGGCATCTTATGGTACCGAGCCCTTCACTTGTGGGGTCTGCACTGCTTTCAGACAGTGTCAGAAATGAATTAAACTGCAGGATATTCACTTGCTGTCCAGAGAGTTGAAGAACTGGTTGGTGTGGAAAAAACCCACACATGTGATGTTAGAAGTGTTGTGGGTAAAAACAGTTCGTAAGTTATAGTCAAGACACTTCTTACTCACAGAAATGCATCTGTTTTTCCTTCCAAACTACACAAAACCCCTTAAACACTCTTGTTTCATATACTGAAAAGAGAAGCCAGACATTCTGAGAGGTTGCAGCATCCAAACACAGGTATTTGTAGTCTGGCCTCAAATAGCCACATATCTTATCCTACTGAACTTCAACTCCGTATTTCAGAAATAAATTTGGAAACTATAAAATGCATTGCTGTATCTTCCAGCCCTAACTTTCACTTTCTGAAAATCACTTTCTAATCAACAACCAAAAAAAAAAAAAAAAAATCCCTCTATGACCATATAGAAATCCCACCAGTTTGAAAGCTAAGTCAACGTAACGGAAATTGAGAAGACTCAAGAATAAAGACAAAACAATTAAGAGTTTGGCTAAACCTGCTACTCTAATGTTTATATTATTGATGAATGACGATTTCAGAAACGTTTTACTGCAAGAGCGTGACAATATTTTCTGACGGGGTTTGCCACTGAAACTTCTGGCCATTGGAGAACTTTAAAAAACATGAAAGATATCCATGCTGTATGTGCAGAACTTTCCAGTAAATGCCAAACTCCCTCATTTATGCTACGTGGCTCACCCAAGAAAGGCTTCCATAAATATTTATCGAATTAAACTGAAGGGATGACAAAAACCCAATGATGTCTTGACATCCATTCCGATCCTATATTCTATCATTCATCCAATAAGCACTGATCAGAAACCACTGAGGCACCGCACAGGAGACTAACAGCTATTGCATGGAATACACAGAACACCCTCCATTTGTCAAAGGGAGAAGGAAAAGAGAGGCAAGAACAGCTATGGAAGATCCAGACTGAGAAGGAACTTCAAAACAAATTTTTTTACTTCTAGCATATAAAAACCAAGTATCACTACGATCACAGTAGTCAAAGGATTTATAGGAGTGAAGCTTAATTTGGAAGACGAAAATCATGTGACTCATGATGATAAAAGATTCTGGGGGCCAGGCGCGGTGGCTCACATCTGTAATCCCAGCACTTTGGGAGGCTGAGACAGGCGGATCATGAGGTCAAGAGATCGAGACCATCCTGGCCAACATGGTGAAACCCCATCTCTACTAAAGAAAAAAAAATACAAAAATTAGCTGGGCATGGTGGTGCACACCTGTAGTCCTAGCTACTCAGGAGGCTGAGGCAGAAGAATCGCTTGAACCCGGGAGGTGGAGGTTGCAGTGAGCAGAGATCGAGCCACTGCACTCAAGCCTGGCAACAGAGCAAGACTCCGTCTAAAAAAAAAGATTCTGGGAAGGTGGCACAGTGGATTTATGCATGGAGACTGGGCTCTGGATACTGGATGGAAGCACTGAAATATGATCTAAAAGGCAAAACTAGTCACTTGACACTCCTAAGGAATAACAAGTTTTTATGATAATTGAAGAATTCAACACCAGCGAATTTCCAAATAAGCCAACAGACAGAACTGCTGAGTTCTGTGGTGTAAATGTCCATCCATATTAGTATATGAGAAAAGATGCAGCTATTCTCATTGAAAAACAAATCTAATCACCCCAGACCACTTACTTTGGGCTGTTAATGCAGTCGGAGGGCATGCATTCATTTACACAAACACCCAACTCATCATCCTCAATGTCAAGGACAGAGAGAGTTCCTGGGTCCTGAAGACAATTCGCCAAACCGATTATGTACTAAGAGATAATGGAAAATTCACTGTCATTTGAAAGAGACATTCTTGGCCTTTGCAAAGCTCTAGAGAATCATTCACACTTTGCAATTATTGGATCAAGAATGATGTTATTCCCGTTATCAGGATATATTACTAAGTCCTTAGTAGATTTACAAATATGCCTGTCACATTAAAGAAATACTGTTTACTTCAGAGTACTGGAGTCTGGTCAAATTGCGTACAGAAAAACTGCTCTCCTTTAATAAATGCCAGCAATGTCATTCCCATCTACATTCATCACTACCCATTTTTATTTTTGCCCTAAAGTAGTTTTATATTGATCAAAAGTAAAATGCCATTCATTTTATTGGAAGACTGTCTTCACAGGCTACTGTGGCAATGTCTCTTCAGGGAACCTTATTTTCAGCAGACTGACGTGGTAAAAGTGGTTCTATCTACATCAACTTCCTTTCTGCACCCTGGTTTCATCAGCTTTATTCCCTCCAGAGCCTGAGCAGTTCTCACTCTCCTACTAAGATGTAGTAACTCTGTGCTGAGACTAACTAGGTTCTGTGTATACAAACTGGAATCCCAACTCTGAAAATCCCAAGCCCCAAACCTGAAACTTTTTGAGGGCCAACAAGATGCTCACATGAGATGCTCATTGGAGCCTTTTCGATTTCAGGTTTTCAGATGCTCAACAGACAAATGTACTGCAAATATTCCAAAATCTGAACCCAGAGACACGTCTGGTCCCAGGCATTTTGGATAAGAGATGCTCAGGCTGTAATATCAAGTGGACAGAAACAGCTAACATGTTGTAAATACTGGCAGGCATGCTCCCTGCATTGTCATTTTCTGCTGACACAGACTGTGGGGTGGAATCCCTCTTGTGGGAGGAAATTAAGATTTAGAGAGATGAAGTTATCTAAGCAAGGGCACACAGCTACCAAGAGAAGCCAGGCTTCAAACCCAAGCAGCCTGATTCAGTCTGAGCCCACCCTCTAGCCACCAGGTTATATAACAGACCACGGAACAAAGACCAAAAAGGATTTTTAAAAAATCAATAATTAGTACAAGCAAACAATACCACTACAACCTACAACCTACTTAAAGCCCCCTAGAATTTTCTTTCAAAGAGAGCTATTGCTAAGTTAAAAAGTGATAGCTACTAACACTGATCATTTACTTAAAACCTCCAAGTTTTGCTGTTAATTCCTCGCACTTTTCAGTGGCTTAAGAAAAAAGCATGTGAGTGCATTCCAGTCCTAAAAATTACTTCCAAAATGTTTACCTACAGCCAGTCACAACCTTCATCAACAATTAACAAATACCATGACTACTTTTGTGTGTTTATACAGTAAGCAATGAAGATTTAGGAAATATGTGCAGCAAAATGTCCACAGTGCTTCATCAATTATCCTCCATCGATACCGACTTCCATGCGATGTTATCGATGTTAACCAAGACAGGTTACTCTGACCAACGTGGTTAATCTAGTACACGTGGCTGGCTGCAAAGTCCACACCAACCCCAGCCTGGGACTGGTATTTTAAACACTATGTGACAGGCACCATCCTATGATGGACGCACAGGAAAGTAGTTGATGTGATTGCTGACCCTGAGAAGCTGGAAATTTACTTAGAAAATCACTGAGGTCAGGAGTTTGAGAGCAGCCTGGCCTACATTATGAAACCCCATCTCTACTAAAAATATAAAAATTAGCTGGGCGTGGCGGTGGGCGCCTGTAATCCCAGCTACTGCGGAGGCTGAGGCAGGGGAATGGCTTGAACTCCGGAGGCAGAAGTTACAGTGAGCAGAGATCACGCCACTGCACTCCAGCCTGGGTGACAGAGCGAGACTCCGTTGGAAAGGGAAGGGGAGGGGAGGGGAGGGGAGGGGAAAGAAAAGAAAAGAAAAAACTGTACAGTGAGAAACAGGAAGTAGAGTATCACGCTGGAAAAAGGAGTATGGACAAACTGCAATATCTTGGTGTCCTGACTTTATAGTTTTGGCTTATGTCTCACTTTTTTCACTTAAAACAGGGGTCAGGAGGATCCCACAACGTCAGAGCCTGCCCTGGGTGCACTCACTACCCACGGTCACCCACCACTTTCAACATCTGCCTCTGATGAAGTCCCTGCCTTGCCAGTGGTTGCTGTGCCTGGAAAGGGACAGCACCTGATTCAGGAGGAGTGAACCATCGCTGCGGGAGAAACACACCTGCCTGGATATAGTCATCATGAGTCAGCAGCAACTCATGTCTCTGGCAGGTGCCAAAGCTTCAGGGTGAACAGCAAAGTTCTTTATAAAATACAGTATACACGTGGCTGTGAGTATTAATCTACAGACAGCAATGGAGAGTATTACTAACAGAGAGACAGGAGAAAGAGAAGACAGAAAAGAAAGAACATTCATGTCTGCTGGGCCTGCCTGAACTTGACTCATCTCCACATTTACTTGAGGGGCTTGAAGAACCGAAGCTTATGCTTTTAAAATGTCACTATGTGGCTATCACAGACTCCGAAAATAGCTAATGCCTCTTCCCATCGCCACTTTATTAGATAAATACATCTCACATGATATAAAATTGTGAAAGATGAGGCACAGGGGAGAACAAGTTCTCATTAATTAATACAACAAAATTAAAATGTACTTGGTGAGGATTTTCATGTAAAAACAAAAAAGGCAGTGAAATCATCCTTATGCAGAAACCAAATTCTTTTTTCATTGAGGTAGGGTCTCTGCCACCCGGGCTGAAGTGCAATGATGCAATCAAGGCTTGCTGCAACCTCCGCCTCCCAGGCTCCAGCAATACTTCCACCTCAGCCTCCCGGGTAGCTGGGACGACAGGTGTGCACCACCATACCTGGCTAATTTTTTGTATTTTTTGTAGAGATGGGGTTTTGCCATGTTGCTCAGGCTGGTCTCAAACTCCTGGGTTCAAGCAATCCAACCGCCTCAGCATCCCAAAGTGCTGGGATTACAGGCGTGAGCCACCGTGCCTGGCTCCAGGAACCACATTCTTAACCTGAGTTCCACAATCAAAAGCTGCAGGAAATTCTCCCTCTGCAGCAGCAATCTCAGTGTCAACCTTCGGTCCTTTGCTTCTTCCTTTCGGCTTATTTGGATATAAAATAAAATAGACAAAAAACAGATATAGGATTCACCCTGCCCAGTTTTTTTAAGCAACAAAATCTTTTAGTGTATTGTACTTACACAAAAATACTGCACAGTATATAATTTTTTCAGTTCCAACATGCCAGTTTTTTGGTCCAAAGGGAACTCAAATATTGCATGTGCTTCTTTTCAAGGCCTCCATTAATCTGCATAATTTCTAAGACTAGGCTTCAGTGAAGTCAATGGAAGGTTTTAGTTAGTATTACATTCAAATTAATATATAATGAGCTACGCTTTAATTCCTCTATTCGTATCAGCATGCCAGGTCCCGCTGAAAAAACCATCCAGAACCATTTATGATATCATTCTTCTTTTGTTTTACCAATGACCTAGTGCTCAGATGTTCATTAGAAAATTACTCCCGTAATACTAGTTTCATTGAAAAACAGATATTAGGAGGCCAGCATTTATTAAATCAATAGTATTATGACATTTCAATTTGATCACACTGATTTCAATTTAGCCAGTGAAGTATTTGTAACAAAAATGTAATTTTAAAATCTATTGCTGAACACTAATAAGCATTTCTATTTTTTACTTACAGAGGTAAAGAGCGATTTTGTCTAGTAGCTGTGCATTCAATCAAGTTAAAAAATAGTAATGAGAAATTTAGGACCGTAGTATCATAGATCACAACCTGAACCACACAATTTACAACAGGCAGGATGTGGTGGACGCTGAGGGGGCCCCTAAATGCATTAACTCAACTGCTGTCATGGAAACATGACGCCAGCATGCTTCACAGAAAGAAGCAAGAGCTGGGAAGGCGCAAAACTTCTCCACCCAGCAGTCTGAGCTTCTGTTTTGCCCTTCCCAGACACCAACGTGGAGGCCAGTAAACACAGAGAGCTTGCAAACCCCTCTACGTGCTCTGCCACAAGTGGGAAGCCTCCCCACTGGAAAGTGCCCACTGCCAAGCAGCCTGGACTGGATCTAATAACAGCTTCAGTCTCCAGAGCCTTCCTCACACCCCAGCTGCCCTCGGCTCCCTCCATCAACCACTTCCAGGTGAGAAACAGGGATGGTCAGCCTCAACACTATTGGCCTTTGGGGGCCAGAATCTTTGTTGGGGGGCTGTTCTGCCACTGTAGGATGTTGCAACTGCATCTCTGGGGTCTATCCACTAGATGCTGACTGCATCCCCCACCTGGGACAACTGAAATGTCTCCTGGCTTTGCCACATGTCCACTGAAGGGCACATGCCCCTGGCCCCTGAGTTGAGGACCACTGATTCAGATTCGGTTAAGAGAGAAGTCAGGTATCGCTGATGAGACACCTGACCTTGTGGTCTCCTCCCCCTACACTTCTGATGAGCTTCCTCAGCATCAGTGGATTCTCTCTGCCTCTGTCTCCAGCATTAACTCACTCTAGTACCCACCCTTCAGCCCCTTGGTGTGATCAGCAGTGCCAACCAACCCTGTTAATTTTGACTCACTCTGATGCTGTCTCAGCAAGAACTGGAAATTCACACTTACATTTGTGCCAGTCTACACTGCAGACCCGGTGCTGCCAGTCTACACTGCAGACCTGGTGCTGCTGTTACCCTCCCACTGCCTCCACTTTGAATGTCTAGTGTATAAGATTCAAAGATGCTGTTATGAATGACAGCAATAACCATAAACAATGGTGACCACAATATGGTGGTACAAGAGGTGCTTTGCATGCACAGGACAATAACAATAACTCAAGTACTCCTTAACCCACTGCCTACTACCACTATGGCAGCAATGGGTTCTCTGTTTGCAAGGAGTAAGCAATCATTTCCAACCTACAGACAAGCAGACCAGTCACCTGAAATGGTACTGGTCCCCAAGGAAGCCTTTATCTATTAAAGGGCCTTCTCACACAAAGACCAGACAGAAAACCCTACTCGACCTGGTATAAACCATAAGGAAATCCATTATCTCACACAGCAAAGGGGTCCAGAGAAAAGGCAAGTGAATAGAAAAGCCTGGTGAACAGAGCCATGAGCAATGTCAGAAATGGCCTCGGTTCTTTTCATCCTCCTCCTTCCACACCCTAAATATGACAGCTTTCCCCAGTCCAGCTCCTCCCTTGTGGGCTCAAGATGGCTGCAGAAACTCCAGGCCTCTCAGGCAGAGCAAGGCCCCCTCTTCCCTATGCTGCTTCTTCAAAGCAAGGAAACCTATTCCAGAAACTACCAGCAGATGTCCTCATTTATTACTGACCCAAATTGGTCACAAATCTCTCCCTAAGCCAATCACTGACAAGAAAAATGGGGCCACTCTTCCGGCTTACACCACTGGTTCTAATTCTACACAGGCGGCATCTACCACATTCCCCAGTGCAGACAGTTATTTGGCAAGGGGCAGGGGCAGTTGTCACTTAGTACAATAAAAAAATCATCCTGGCCAAAATCCCAGGAGAGCCCTCGTCAAAAGCAACTGAGTAATAAGGAGTTGAGCAACATACTCCAGTTCAAATACCATACTGAATAGGCAACACTGAATACTCTCAGAATTCATTTTCTGGTTCTTTGTTATAATAATACTGAGTTTGCGCAGTCTTTAAATACCCCAGTTTAACAAAGAAACATTAAAAAAAAAAAAGTGTGGCCTTGGGTTTGAGGTACGTCTGTGCATCCTGGCTCACCCATGGTCTCTCTGTATGAGGTATGACTAGAAATTAACTTCTCTGAGCCTGGCAATTCCTGAACTTAACCAGTAAGACTCCTGTGCCTCTCGAGTCAGGTTACTGTGGGGATGTGAGATAGTATATGCACAGTACCCAGCACAAGGTCTGCAGCCCGTGGGTGCGAATCACTAGAAACGCTCACCAATTCACTGCAACACTTTCCAATGAAGAATGGTTTTTGAGTTCCTATGATTCATCTATGGCTTCAATTATGTTTTTCCTTCGTACCTTTTTATGCTATCCCGAAAGGTCTGAAAGGTTAATGCATATTCCAAAAACGTCCTCAAGGTGAGTGGCTTATCACACAGAAAGCCAGGGTTTGTAACACTCTGGCCATGCCTTGGCTCCCTGTCCCATTGTTTATAGACCTGCAGTCTCTCAGAATCTTCGGATGCTCAGCAATGACTGAGGATCAGGGAGTGCATGAATCAGTACAGACTCACAGGCGAAATGACCAAATGTTCTGATCCCTTTGCCGGGTGGGGGTTACGTATGCAGGCATGTCTGGATGGATTTACTTTTAGGAGAATCCAGATGCCGGCAGGGAAAAGAATAAATCCTGTTGTGATCTAGAGACTTTGCAGGTCACCACAAGTGCAAGATCTTGTTAAATATTAAGGAGCTTTAAAGCAGGTTTCCACTCTCCTAAACTGAGCCTTTCCTTTCATCAAGTTGTTAAGTGCAGGACATCATATATTCATGTAAAGGTTTATCTGACATGTTCGTGCTGGCCTTTCTGGTTATAAATGGCACTGGCGACAAAACTGGAGGCAGATTTTATCTTATCCTTGACTTTATGTCATTGAGACAGGCAGATTCAAAGTAGGGTGGCTGGCGGAAGGACGGAAGAGAGAAAGCTCAGGAATGAACAGTCCCCACACCTTTTATTGACACCCAGCAAAGTAGGCCAGCCTCCTCAGTGTGCCCTCCCTGGGGGCAGGGGTGACAGCGCTGAAGGGCAAGGCCCGGTGGCATGGCCACACCACTGGGCTCCCCTTATTACATGGGGTCCTCATTTTCCATTAGCTCTCAAACCTCTGAAGTCCTAAAGTTAAAAGAGAGAAGCTCAAACTTCTCTTTACATCAGGTTTCTCCCTGGAGCAAGTGTCTGTTCATGAAAGGCACTACGGGGCTTAAACGGGTGGCCTAACTTGCAAAAGGATTGGTGGTTTTTTAATGTTTTTTGGAGGGGGGATGGGGGAGCCACCTCCAAACAATTTTACCGTGGCTTAAATCCACAATAAGATCTTCTGTAGATAAAAGAATTATAATCTTTTCTTAATTATTTTTATTAATAGAGAATGGAATAGAAAATGGCCCAAAAAATAAAAAATCAGGCACAATGATCACTTTGAAATGTGTCTAGTTTTATAAACAAGAGATGTATCCCCTTTGCACACCTCCAAATCCCATACACCAATTACGCTAAGTTCATGCTAATATGATCTCACCCTCCCTGCAAGTTCCCCGGGAACTGGCAAGAGCCAGAATTATCCGCGGTAAGCAGAAGCCATTTGGGAGTGAGAACTCCCGGAGCAGATAACTGAAAGTTGACTAAATTCTTAAATTCTTAACGTTTAGGATTAAAAGCAAGTTGCTATCTAACGGACTGCAGACAGCGGAGCTCAGGCCCCAGTGATCAAGCAGCTGCGATGGCGAACTCTGTATAGATCTGGATTTTGCGATTTTTATAGTTACATTTATTGTTTGACCAATGTTGCCCTCTTTAGTGTGTCTCTTATAAGATTTTCTCCAATACTCATAAAAACTAGATGGCCCCGCTGGTCCTTTTTTGCCATGGAATTCATGTGCTTCAGTTCAAGTACCCAGAACAGGCAAAGGATCCCACAGATGAACCCCACCTCGCAGTTCTGTATGTTGCCAGGGACGGGTATTCAACGAACTGGACTTCTCTGGGGTTTTCCACCCAAAGAGATTCTGTTTAACAAACCTCTTCAAGTCTGTAAAGAAACGGGAATGGCAACAGGAGGTAGGGGAGCACGTACTCTGCAGAACCATGCTTTCAGGCCCAGACACTGGGGATGCCTGAGAGAACAGACCCGGCTCCAGCCATGGGGTAGAAACCTCCCAAGTTCAATCAATGGCACCGAGATCACAGAGGGACATGCACCAGTCTGCTAACAAAATCACCTACCATCAAAACAGCCTCTATTTCTTTTCTTTTCTTTTCTTTTCTTTTTTGAGACAGAGTTTCTCCCTCGTCGCCCAGGCTGGAGTACAATGGCGCGATCTCAGCTTACTTCAAACTCCACCTCCCGGGTTCAAGTGATTCTCCTGCCTCAACCTCCCGAGTAGGTGGACTACAGGCACGTGCCACTAATGCCCAGGAAATTTTTGTATTTTTAGTAGAGACAGGGTTTCACCATGTTAGCCAGGCTGGTCTCGAACTCCTGACCTCAGGTGATCCACCCGCCTTGGTTTCCCAAAGTGCTGGGATTACAGGTGTGAGCCACCGTGCCCGGCCAACAGCCTCTATTTCAAAGCCATTTGGGGATAACATGATGAGAAGGAGATATCCATCATGTATCCCACAAACATTAACTGCTAAATGACTTGGGGAAAAAATTAAGCTCTGTCTCTATATATGGGCTTAAGGCAAATGCCTGGAGAATGTAAGTGTCCCACCTGAAGGCCAAACTCAGCTACAAGTGTTTGAATGTTGCTGCATTTAGCTGCTGAATAAGGGAAAAAGAAACCAGTCACCATAGAAACTGCAGCCTCACAATCTATCGTAAGAGAAGCCCGCGTCTTCCTTACCCCTTTGGCTGTACCAGACGGAATGAGAAAGAAAAGCTTCTCTCTCTTGGCCACATTTAATCTTCTCTCCTCAGCCTTTAATCTAGGTCTCCGATGCTAAAATGTAGGAGAGATTCCCTCCTAAGGGTTAAATCTATAATCACACTGACAGGTACATCATTGAAAGCTAAGAAAACACTGAAAAAAAGCACTGGATGTGGAATCTTCAGTGCTATGAGCAGCATGAACACTCTTAGTAGAGAGGGTGTCCATGCAGGGAAGGTCTTTATTTCTTTCTTGGTTTGTGTGGGGAAAAATGGCCTCACACAGCATTTCTTATTTTAGCCTTCTCTACATGTCCGTGTCCCTTCCTTTATTAAACATCGAGAAATAGAGAAAGCAAGATACTTAAAGAAACCATTTCAGGTACAGTTTCAGACCCAACCAAACCAGACTCAATGCAGTGCACTGCCGTGACTGCTAGTCCTTTATTTACGGATTTCCAGGGTGCCTTTTATCCCTTATCAGTGATGTGTGTATAATCTCGATACTTATGTCAAAGACGACAGAGACTGTGCTGCAGAAGGACACCAAGACACTGGGTATTTTACGGAAGTACTTAGACCAGGCACACATTTGCTCTGTTCTGAGTCCAGATGCAGTACAAGCCTCAGTTATCATGACCTTGGATCCCTGTAACCTCCATGAGGTACAGATTCTGATTAGGAACTGGTCAGGGAGGTGATAAGAGAATGGATTGGAATTAGTGTCCTGGGCATATGACTCACATCAAAAACAAACTCCTCCTTGGCTTCAAATAAAACGGAAATAAGCAGGAAGCACTAGGGAGTCACTGCCCAGCCGCACCTCACCCGTCAGCTACATACACTCCTGAGAAGCATGACATGAAACAGCGATCAATTCAGCAGAAAAGAATTAGCTGCCTATAAAAAAGCAGAAACCCTGGATGCCAACCGTATCCCCAGACCACAGTGCTCTCTTGGGCTTATTCCTCAAGTTCCTTATATCTTTATTCTCTATTTGTTTAGTTAGAAAACAGTATACAGTAGCAGGTTAGTGCCTGGATCAAACAATCTGAAAAGACGGACATTTTAAAAAAGAGGAAAAAAAAAAAAAAAAAAACTTACATAAAACATGTGTAGACATTAAGCCTAGTCCGTGATCACTTTCAACAAGCAGCAAACCTTGACATTTCAGGTTTGTGAGCAACAGGATTTCGTGGAACATGATTTGTTTTTGTTTTGTTTTTTTAATGCTGAGATTTTAATTTTATGTTTTGATTTCTTTTTTAATGCTGAGATCTCCCTCCCTCCCTCCTTCCCTCCCTCCCTCCTTCCCTCCCTCCCCTGCCTCCCTCTCTTCCTCCCTCCCTTCCTTCCTTCTCTGAGATGAAGTCTCGCTCTGTCTCCCAGACTGGAGTGCAGTGGCACAATCTCAGCTCACTGCAACCTCCGCCTCCCGGGTTCAAGTGATTCTCCTGCTTCAGCCTCCCATGTAGCTGGGATAACATGCGCATGCCACCACGCCCGACTAATTTTTGTATATTGTGTAGAGATGGGGTTTCACCATGTTGCCCAGGCTGGTCTAGAAATCCTGAGTTCATGCAATCCTCCCGCCTGGCCTCTCAAAGTGCTGAGGTTACAGGCATGAGCCACCGCGCCTGGCCCCTGAGATGTCTTCTTAATTTCAATGAGGAATTGAAATTAATTGGGAGGCCAAATACTCTTCTCAGTGCTCTCAACTCTTTCCTCTTCTTAGCAAAGAACTGAGCTGGGGTATTTTTAGTTGATTACAAAAGTGCCATCCTTAGTTGTAAACTCACCATCCCATAAATGGAGCCATTCCCCTCTTAGGCTAGTCATCTCTATTATTCAGAACTACTCACAGGAGGCTTGCTTAATTTAAGTTATAGTGATGACCTCTCCTATGTTTTGATCCTTCTAAGTTAATTTTTGGACTTATATCCCCATGAATCCCCATTCAAGAACATTTACTGAGAACTGATGATGTCCTGGGTACTGCGGAAGGCACTGAGGATAAAGCAGTCATGGAAATACAAACTTGGCTCTCGCAGAGCCTGCATTCTAGCTAGGGGAAGGAGGCCAAATGCAAAAAACTATTTAAATTAAATTTAAAAAATAAAAGGCAAAGTGCTATATAATAGTCGGGGGAATCAGTGCTGAGATCAGTGCTGAACCAGGATAGCAGGGAGAGTGCGCAGAAGGGGAGATAGTGGAACAGAGTGCGGTTTTCTTTCCTTTTTTTTTTTCTTTGAGACAGAGTCTTGCTCTGTCACCCAGGCTGGAGTGCAATAGCATGATCTCAGCTCACTGCAACCTCCGCCTCCCGGGTTCAAGCGATTCTCCTGCCTCAGCCACCCTAGTAGCTGGGATTATAGGCAAGCACCACCATGCCCAGATAATTTTTGTATTTTTAGTAGAGATGGGGTTTCACCATGTTGGCCAGGCTGGTCTCGAACTCCTGACCTCAGGTGATCCACCCACCTCGGCCTCCCAAACTGCTGGGATTACAGGCATGAGCCACCACGCCCAGTCCAGGGTTTTCTAATTTTAAGCAGACACCCGTAGGAAGTGAGGGAAGGGGCCATGCAGGAATCTGGGGGTGACCTTCCAGGCAGACCAGGCATTATACAAAGGCCTTAGGCAGGAGTAAGCAGGTGTCAGTGGGATAGTGGGGAGCTGGAGGGGGCACGGCAGGTACGTGAAGCCTCCAGCATCAGGCGACTGGACCCAGGCATCCCGCCCTGATGAGATGACATGCCACAGGGAGGCAGGAGCAAAAGTGGGGCTCCATCTGACTTCAGTTTCAACAGAAGCCCTCTGGCTGCAGTCGGGGGACGCAATGACTAGAAGCCAGGAAACAAGCTCTGGCGTGATGGGACAGTCCATGGGACAGAGATGGTGGCCTGGACTTGGGCAGTGGCAAAGGCTACACAGAAGAGTGAGTTCAGGACAGAGTTTGAAGGGAGAGCCAACAAAATTTCCTGATGGGTGGAATGGAAGTGTGCAGAGAAGGGTTCACCTGGGAGGCCTAGGCTGTGGTCCTCACAGAGGGGGCTCGCCTGCAAGGGGGGGTCTGTGGCTGCAATCTGGAAATGTGGCTGATAAAAAATAGCTTATACCAATCTAAAACTTTTCCTAAATATAAGAGTGGTTTGCTGTGTCTAAACTGTGTGTACAAACAATCTGGTTTATGGTTTCCTTCTAAGAGTTGGGAATTCTGGTCTGTGCCAGGCAGAGGGTTCCTATGTGACCAGTCCCCAGTAAAAACCCTGAGCACTGAGTGTCTAAGGAACTGCCCTGGTAGAAGAGTACCTGGCACCTCTTGTCACAGCTGGGTGCTGTGTGACGCCTCCAGGAGGGGGCTCTGGAAGCTTCTGTCTGGTTTTCTGGACTTCACCCCATTGCTGATTCTGCTTTCTATCCTTTCACTGTAATAACCTATAACCATGAGTGTAATGACTTCTGAATCCTGTGAGTCCTTTCAGTAAATTACCAAACCTGGGGCAGATGTGGGGATCCCCAACACAGAGGTGTGAAGCGGAGAGAGGCTACAAGGAGGATGCCAAGGCTTTGGACTCAAGTGCAGTTGTCTTTCTGTTTGTTTGTTTGAGATGGAGTCTCACTCTGTTGCCCAGGCTGAAGTGCAGTAGCAAGATCTCAGCTCACTGCAACCTCCGCCTCTCGGGTTCAAGTGACTTCTGGCTAATTTTTGCATTTTTAGTAGAGATGTGGTTTCACCATGTTGGCCAGGCTGGTCTAGAACTCCTGACCTCAAGTAGATCTGCCAGCCTCAGCCTCCCAAAGAAGTGCAGTTGTCTTATGCATAATTCCCTGCACTCTAAGGCAAATCTCTGAGTAGCTCATTTAGAATTTCAAACACACTGAGATTTTCAATATTTTTTTAAAGAACACAAAAAAGTTCCAACAATTTCCCTTCTTTAAAGGATAAAAAAAGGATCATAGATGTTAGTGACATTTCAGGTATGTCCCTTCCTTGCTGTGACAAGGTGTGGTCATGAACAAAGTAAGCTAGAGAGCTTCTGTCTTCTCCCAGCTATATTTCTGTATTCCTCTAAGGAAACAATATTTTATTTCCATTAACTAGAAAATTGGGAATTGCTGTTTCTTATTTATAGATCTTTTTGGTGGACAAATGAGTTGTCAGTGAAACTTGTACAATTTAATATTTGCAAACACGTAGGATCTCAGATATGGAATACGATTTATAAGAATTGCTGGGAACGAAAAAGTAATATGGAGGCTCGTAAATGTCAGACACGTGACATGTTACAATTACTGATAGGCTTTTATTTTCTAGTCTCCTCTAGCCCTAGTTTTAAAACTTACCAAGCCCCAAAAAATCCTTTAGTGGTCTCTTAGTATACACTCAGTGAACTGGAAAACTGAGGCAACAAAGACATTATTGACCAAAAGACTGAGTCTGTCCTGTAATAAACTTCATTGTTTGATGACAGAAACAAACTGACAGAAACCCTTCCTAGTAGTCCTTCGCAAAAGACAAAAATAAAAAGCTTTTATGGAAACTGGGGCGTTTTGCTTGAGTGGACATTGGGATATGTCATAAGTTAATCAAATGATGGTTTCCAGAGGCTGCAAAATTGGTCAAAGTGACTATGTCAAAGAAAGGTTTTATCTAATTTTTTTTTTTTTGAGACAGAGTCTCGCTCTGTCGCCCAGGCTGGAGTGCAGTGGCACGATCTCGGCTCACTGCAATCTCCACCTCTTGGGTTCAAGTGATTCTTCTGCCTCAGCCTCCCGAGTAGCTGGGATCACAGGTGCCCACCACCACGCCCAGCTAATTTTTGTATTTTTAATAGAGAAAGGGTTTCGCCATGTTGGCCAGGCTGGTCTCAAACTCCTGACCTCAGGTGATTCACCCACCTCGGCCTCCCAAAGTGCTGCGATTACAGGCATAAGCCACCGCACCTGGCCTTTATCTACTTTCTAAACATATCTTAAGTTGATTTTTAAAAGGAAGATTTCTTTGTGTTCCAAAAGCTGAGACTCACCCAGCTGTGTGATGCAGAGACATCTGCTCTAAATTAAAATCCACTGAGAGCCACGGTGATATACAGTGCAGTCACCTCTACAGACTTGTTATAGACATGGATAGTATATGGATAGTTTTGGCAAATCTTTTAGGCCTCTAAATAACAGGGTTCGTCTTCAAGAAAAAAAAAGTCATTATTTATTTTTCAATAAAATGAGGCTTTTAATGTCCTTTGAGTTTTTTTAAACCTATTTCATCAACTATTTATCCTTCAACTGAATGTACATTTTGGAAATGATCTGTATTTGCCAAATAAGGTAAGTCAGAATTCCCAGTAAAGTATGGCATCCAAAGCTATTCACAGTGATCTCTTAAATCAAAGATAAATAACAGTAGAAATAATAATCATGAGCTTGTTCTCATACTGTTCCAGTTTGTATTCAAGACAGAAAGGAACACCTACCCAGGAGCTCAATCACATTGCATGCACAGACACCGACAACCACACAGACGTGTGAACACATCCCCCCAACGTGAGCAACCGCAGCATAATGGGACTCATCCCATCCAAATACCCATTTCATCTAAAGTGTAAAAATAATAAAAAGAACTTCTTGGAAATACCGCTCATCTCCGGCCATTAAATGTGCTTAGCTTTGACTTCTGTCTCGTAACAGCTGAACGCTATGGCAATTTTCCATAACAACACGCATCTCAGATGACTCACTGCTGAATTCAAACACATATTCCTTTTACCGTAATGAAAGAAACTAGAAAAAAGTCTGCCTGCTGAGAAACAGTGATGATCAACAGTGATAACAGAGAAAAAAAGCAAGTAAGTGTGTGCGTGTGTGTGTGTGTGTGTGTGTGTGTGTGTGTGTGTGTGTGTGTCTCTTTTTGGATCCTGCACAAAGAATACTGCTTGCTAGAACTTCTAAAAACTTGAGAGAAGATTTCTCTTTTTTTTTTTTTAAATAAATGAAGCAACTGCTAAGACAGTTGGATCCTCATCCCATGCATCCATACCATTTCTCTGAACATTACCTTCGTGTAAGCAGAGGAAGTCAGTAGAGAGTGCCACTGTGTTATTTCTAAGATTTCTGTACATACATGAAATGCGATCAGATTGGGTTGAAGAGTGTCTCCCTGCAAATTCATACTCACCCAGAAGCTATCATGCAACCTTATTTGAAAATAGGGTCTTTGTAACTGCAATTGAGTTAAGACAAAGTTGGATGGGATTCACACAGGGCCAGTCAAATGACGGTTGTCTTGTAAGCAGAGAGAAATTTGAACAGATGTGGAGAAGGCCATGTGAACCTGGAGGCAGGGAACCGAGGGAGGTGGCCACAGACCAAGCAAAGCCCAGGACACAGGCGACCCCAGAAGCCAGGGCCGCCCTCTGCTTCCACCCAGAGCCTTCAGGGGAGTGTGGTCCTGCCGACACCCTGATTTCACACACTAGTCTCCAGAAGCATGAGAGAACAAATTTCTGTCATTCTAAGTCATCCAGTCCATGGGAATTTGTGACAGTAGCCTTTGCAAACTAAGAAAATGATGTTCTCACACCCTCCAAATTAAACGTGTAGATTCTCACTCATTACAAAATATAGTTAAGAAACCTCCTGTGTCTCTTCCATTGAACTGAAATAAGAGAAAACATTAATGAAAGTATCTCACCAGCTTTAAGAACACATAATATTCAATGCAACTAATGTCTATTTATAAAGTGCCTAACCCCACACCCTGCCTCATGAGAGGCCCAAAAGTAATATTCAGTATCTGCTCTTAAAGCACTCCTTAATTATGCACAAAATACTGAATAAGATGATAATGCTCACATACCCTACCAAAATAATAGTCTGAATTCTTATGGGAAGAAATTAAAGTGAGGGAAGAAGGTAAGGTAATTGTATTTTGGAAAATATGAACAAACTATTAAACTCTGGAATCAGGTCAACAGCACATAATAGCTTTGTGCAAAGACAATAAATGTTTAATGAATTAGTTAATTTTTAATTACAAATATATTAGAATGATTAATGTGTATACCTTTTGAGTCTTAGTATTCATACCTCTAAAAAAGTGTGCATGTCCATTTAATCTATATATGAACTCAAAAATTTTAAATTCAGGCCAGGCATGGTGGCTCACGCCTATAAATCCAGCACTTTGGGAGGCCGAGGTGGGTGGATTGCTTGAGTTCAGGAGTTCAAGACCAGCCTGGCGAACATGGTGAAACCCCAGCTCTACTAAAAATACAAAAAACATTAGCTGGGCCTGGTGGTGCATGCCTGTAATCCCAGCTACTTGAGAGGCTGAGGCAGGAGAATCTCTTGAACCCAGGAGGCAGAGGTTGCAGGGGGCCAAGCTGAGATCATGCCACTGCACTCCAGCCTGGGTGACAGGGCAAGATTGCCTCCAAAAAAAAAAAAAAAAAAAATTAAATTCAAGGAGTTGAAGACATATGTCCATGAATTCACGCATTTATTGGACAGGTATTTAATGAGTGCTACTATGGTCAAGAAAGTATGTTTCTAAGAATGGACAGGAAAGACACAGTCCTTGCCTTCCTGGAGCTTCAAAGTTAGGCAAAAAGAGGCCGGTATTATACAAGGAGCTGCACAAATGATTAAGCATAACTGTGACAGAACAAGCTGCTGAAGGACACCAACAGAGGCTCAAGTTCATCTGGGCCAGGGTCAGGGGTCCAGGGAAGGATTCCTTTGGGGAATCTATATTTGAAAATGAAAGATGAGTAGGACTTTAACAGAACAAAATAGGTATGCATTAGTCCATTTTCACTGATAAAGATGTACCCGAGACTGGGCAATTTACTAAAGAAAGAGGCTTATTAGACTTATAGCTCCACATGGCTGGGGAGGTCTCACAATCATAGTGGAAAATGAAAGGCACGTCTCACATGGCAGCAGACAAGAGAAGAGAGCTTCTGCAGGGAAACTCCCATTTTTAAAACCATCAGATCTCGTGAGACTTATTCACTATCACGAGAACAGCATGGGAAAGACCCACCCCCATGATTCAGTTATTTCCCACCGGGTCCCTCCCACAACATGTGGGAATTCTGGGAGCTACAAGATGAGATTTGGGTGGGGACACAGAGCCAAACCATATCAAGGTACAAAGGGCGTTACAGAAACATAACAAGTGCACCTCCTGGTACAGCAAGGAGGGGCACGGAAGGAGACACTGCACAGGGGAGCGAGTGAAAAATCTCCCCAGGCTCAGCATGTCCAGGAAGGATGTGGCAGCTTGATCGTACCCTAGAGTCCAAACAACAAGATTCTTTTCAACAGCAGTGCCAGGTTAAAACAGCAGGCTGAAAACCCACATTCATTTCACCTCCTCCTAAACTCTAACCAAAACTACAGTCCAGAGACTTTTTTTAAAAAAGACACACCCACTCAGCACACAAAGGTAAGGAGGCAAAAAAGCTGATGAAGAAGAAGTGAGTAATTTCACACATTCAGCAAAGCCAAATCCCAGGCCTTCAGCAGAAAAGCTGAGCACCAACACAGTGGCTCCTACAGAAGCCTTGAAAGGCTCTGAAACGAGTCCCACCAGATATGTCCGAAACCGGGGGGTTGACAGGAGCTTAAGATATAAGCATGGGGAGGTGACTGGGAAGCAGAGGCAGTTAGACGCCCCCCACAGCCTCCCTGATCCCTGTCTCAGCCTTCTCTGAACAGGCTGGGGCAGGAACCAACACTGCAGGCCAGCACCCAGCCCTCTTCTCTCCACGTGGCTCCTGGAACGCTGGCAGTCAGACCTGGAGCCCCAGGTGGGACATTGGGAGACTGAAAAGCTCTCCCTGGAAAACCAGCCAAAGAGGAAATACTACAGGACAAGAAGCAGCCCACAAGCCACACTCCAGGGGCTGACCACCACATTCTAATCCCCCCTACCCTCTTTCATTTTTTTGAGACAGAGTCTTGCTCTGCCGCCCAGACTGGAGTGCAGTGGTGCAATCTCAGCTCACTGCAACCTCTGCCTCCCGGGTTCAAGGAATCCTCCTGCCTCAGCCTCCTGAGTAGCTGGGATTACAGATGCATGCCACCATGCCCGGCTAATTTTTTTGTATTTTTAGTAGAGACAGGGTTTTATCATATTGGCCAGGCTGGTCTAGAACTCCTGACCTCAAATGATCTGCCCGTCTCGGCCTCCCAAAGTGCTGCGCTTACAGGCGTGAGCCACCAACGCCCCAGCCAAAACCTCTGATTCTTGAGACAAATGATAGCTCACCTAAAATTCTACACCCACACAAACTATCAATAAAGTATATGGATAAGACAGACATTTTTAGCCACTTTTAGTGAGAAGGAAATGTAGACAGCATTTTATCATCTTTGCAACCTACGGACACAATGCCAAAGTCAGCCAGACCAAGATTGTTAACAATATTCAGCTTATTTTGACTACACTAAAAAGATTCCTAAGTTGGGTCCTACTCCTGGTCCAGCTGTCTAGACAAGATGAGAACATTCATTCCACTGCAAAGAAACAGTGAACTTCAGCCTGCTCCTGAGAGCTAAGTTGTAAAATCAGAAAACAAGAACCAACCAACCCCCGCCCACATTTTTTTAATGTATTTTTTTAAATTATACTTTAAGTTCTAGGGTACATGTGCACAACGTGCAGGTTTGTTACATATGTATACATGTGCCATGTTGGTGTACCGCACCCATTAACTCACCAATTACATTAGGTGTATCTCCTAATGCTATCCCTCCCCACACCCCACGACAGACCCCAGTGTGTGGTGTTCCCAACCCTGTGTCCAAGTGTTCTCACTGTTCAATTCCCACCTATGAGTGAGAACATGCGGTGTTTGATTTTCTGTCCTTGCAATACTCTGCTCAGAATGATGGTTTCCAGCTTCATCCATGTCCCAATGTGCTGGAGAGGATGTGGAGAGATAGGAACACTTTTACACTGTTGGTGGGACTGTAAACTAGTTCAACCATTGTGAAAGACAGTGTGGCGAGTCCTCAAGGATCTAAAACTAGAAATACCATTCGACCCAGCCATCCCATTACTGGATATATACCCAAAGGATTATAAATCATGCTGCTATGAAGACACATGCACACGGATGTTTATTGCAGCACTATTCACAATACCAAAGACTTGGAACCAACCCAAATGTTCATCAGTGATAGACTGGATTAAGAAAATGTGGCACATATACACCATGGAATACTATGCAGCCCCTGCCCACATTTCTAAGGGATGTGACCTCCAGTACTGAGAGTTCATGCTGCAACTTCAGTAGAAGCAAGTGTGGTAACCCCTCGTCTTCTTAAGATTAGCTCACAGACCAGGTGCAGTCGCTCACACCTGTTATCCCTGCACTTTAGGAAGCCAAGGCAGGAGGATCACTTGAGCCCAGGATTTGAGACCAGCCTGGGCAACACAGTGAGACCCCATCTGTACAGAAACAAAAAATCTAAAAATTAGCTGATATGGTTTGGCTGTGTCCCCACCTAAATCTCATTTTGAATTATAGCTCCCATAATCCCCACATGTTGTGGGGACGTAATTGAATCATGCAGGCGGTTTCTCCCATGCTATTCTCCTGATAGTGAGTAAGCTCTCATGAGATCTGATGATAAGGGCCTTCCCCCTTCATCCAGCTCTTATTCTCCTTCCTGCTGCCATGTGAAAAAGGACATCTTTGCTTCCCCTTTTGCCATGATTTTAAGTTTCCTGAGGCCTCCCCAGCTTTGCTGAACTGTGAGTCAATTAAACCTCTTTCCTTTATAAATCACCCAGTCTCAGGTATGTCTTCCCTAACAGCATGAGAACAAACTAATACATTAGCTAGGTGTGCTGGTGCATGCCTGTGGTTCTAGCTACTTGGGAGGCTGAGACAGGAGGATGGCTTGAGCCTGGGAGTTTGACACTACAGCGAGCTATGATCACCCCACTGCACTCCAGCCTGGGTTACAGAGTGACACCGTTTCTCCAAAAAAAAAAAAAATTAGCTCACGACTTCACCTACTGAATCCTCATCCACTCTGAGGAAAAGCAAAGCCAGTGTGGTGCCCAGACCACATCCAGCTTTCTTCCCTCTTCAGAGTAGGGAAAGGGCCCTCTCTGAACAATGAGGACAGTGCCCACTTCCCATCCTGTCAACAGGACTCAGCATCCCACTTAGGGAAGCATACACAGGCTGGAACGCCACAAAGAGAGGCACAGGCAGGACCCGCACAGCTGTGAGGCCCCGGGTGCCCTGGTCCCGCAGGGAGGCAGACCTGGGGCTGCAGCGGGGGCTTCACTGGCCTGGCAGCTCCGAGGCTTAGACCGGAGGGTGGGCATCTGTAATTTCCCATTGGCTCACTCCTTCAACTCCTCACATGTGTGTATAGGGTACGTCAAAATAAAATTTATTTTTTCAAGGGTGAAGGATGTGATTGGATTTGATTCACATTCAAAGATGACTGAGGCCACGGTGAAGAGAAAGGGGCAGGGGAGACGAGGACAGGCTGGCTCTGGTGGGGGTGGCAGAGCTGAGAGGTCCAACATTAAAGGCTGTTTCTCTTCATCGTTTTTGTAAGGGCAGGACAGTATTAAAGGAAGGAAGAATAAAAGGGAGAGAAGAGGGAAGGAGAGGAAGAGGAAGACAAAGAGGAGAAGAGAGAAAGATTTGGTCAGTGAGGCAAAAAATAACAACATTGGCCACCACAACTGTCGGCTTCACTGTCGGTCAATATCATGCTAACAGTGTATTATATTTACACTGTTCCTCCAGTACAGGAGCCCCCAAACACTGTAAAAATCATCATTCAGTTAAACGTCACAACATAATCACATGGCTAAGTTAAGGGGGAGATCTTAATAGTCCAATTTTACAAACAGGGGAAGTACTGAATGAAAGGGTCAATGATTTGCCACAGCTGCTTAAAAGGCTGAGTGAGGACTTAGGTGTCAGTAAAATCCAGGAAGCCCACGTCCCCTACTAAATCCTTAAACTCTGCTGTACCACATTAAGTACATCTTCTACATGAAACTTGTACGACTCTGCAGACACGTGCCACCCCAGGGCTGGGAAGCAACTGGATGTCTGCCCGTCACAACCACATTGAGAACTGTCCAAGGACGCCAATGGTGTTGGGTCGCCGCCCACACTCCATGGGCCTGTTTTATGATTTCCTTGGATGAACCTGAATGGACCATCTTTGTCCAGAACCTAATATTCTATTTCACGTAAGTGTGAAGCATAATTTTTGAAGTGTAAAGAACTTGGTAGCCGTTTTGGTGGAGATGCATTTCACAAGCCCTTCATTTTCACGGGAGCACCTGGTGGAAGGCCTGGTACTTAGCAGAACCTCGGGACATCAAGAAAACTGAACCACCACGAGATGAGTCATTTTCTGTCATTTTTACTAAATGTCAAAATTAGACTTGCTATATTTCCTTTTGTTTCTGTAGTAGGAAGTGAGGGGGTGAAAATATTTCCATAACAATATGCTACAAAGAAAGTCAGTAAACCTAAACAATTTTAATCAGCATCTTGTAATATGGGTCATTATGAAGATTATTTTTTTAAAAAGCAACATGAAACAGATAAAACCTTAAGCATTTAAAATGGAAACTGGTTAAGAAGGTGCCTTTTCAAGTGGAAAAGGATTTGGTATGGAAAACTTTTTATTTTATTGGAGATTAAGTCTCACTCTGTTGCCAGGCTGGAGTGCAATGGTGCGATCTCAGCTCACTGTAACTTCTGCCTCCCCAGTTCAAGCAATTCTCCTACCTCACACTCCCAAGTAGCTGGGATTACAGGCACACACCACACGCCTGGCTAATTTTTGTATTTTTAGTAGAAATAGGGTTTCACCATGTTAGCCAGGATGGTCTCGATCTCCTGATGTCGTGATCCGCCCACCTCAGCCTCTCAAAGTGCTGGGATTACAGGCATGAGCCACTGCGCCCGGCCGGAAAACTTTGTAGATGATTTTATTCTCAAAAAGGGTAGATACATTGCTAAGAATCAACATCTTACCTTAAACACTTCCATTGGAAGAGGAAATTTGGCAGCATCAATAAGGGATTTTTCCAGAGTACATTTCCATTCAGAGGCCATCTTCAAAGGATAGATTTCTGTATCAACAGCAAATCACAGAAGAGTTGAAGGACTAACACGTTCTGCCGGGTGACTCTTTCCTGCATGCTAATTCCCAGGCTTTCCTGATACCTCAGCACGGTCAGTGACCGTGAGTGTTCACACCCCATACCCACCATGAGCAGCCACCTGCTGAAAGGACTTTCTGAAATTAAATAGCAACTTGGGATTCTGCTGTCAGAAATGAAGAATAAACTTAATAGAGCTCTTCTTCAGGGAACATTTGTATGCATTTAGTTGGCATTCTGTAAGTAATTTAATGGTATTAATCACATTAGCAAAAACCTTCAGTCATCCATGGGCCAAAATTCCACCTATCACCTAGGAAAGCAATGCCCACTGATGAGGAACTTATTATCTGATACATTTCTAAACTACAAACGACTCTAGTCTGGCATTTGCAGTTATGACAACATATTTTCACTAAATCTCTAAGCTCTCATCTGCTAAAAATAGTCCCTGTAAGTCAGAAAATTATTAAAAGGTAAATTAAAATTTACCAAGTTTAATATTTACACTTGAAATGTTGCTTAACACACCACATGTTGCCCATATTTTTCCCCAGGCAGTGGGAGGGGGGGCAAGATTTACAGATGGAGGTTACACAGTCTGAATGCAAAATTAAAAGGAAAAAAAAAAACGTTGAGCACTGTTTTTACCTATTGCTGAAACTGCAGGAGAATTTTATGGCCTGATCTCAACAGATTTAAGACCTTATCAAAATAGGATTTGCAGAAGCCCTCACTGGAAGTAGATATGTTTATGCCTTCAATATATCAACCCAGGCTACTTCAGACAGACGCTTAGGATATGAATATGAAATTAAGCACAGTTAAAAAGCAACAGTAAACCTTTGGGACTGTATTTTTAATTTCTTGCATGTCTGCTTTTTAGCATGAAGCGATCTATTTTGATCCTCATAGCTTTTGAACTCACCTTGAGCTTTAAGCCCCTGTTTCCGCAGTTTATTCAGTCATAATTACAGTAAGTATCAGATCCTGCCAGAACTAGCCAAGCCATCGGTGCACTGCCCGAAGTCATTGTTACTTACACAAAGACACACAAAGGGTAATTCACAACCACACATCCTCTGCGTGTGTGCATTGTCTATAATCCTTTCTAGTGTTTCCTGTCTGCTGAACTTTTTTCTTCTAGTTTGGCCTTTCTAAATTCTTCTTAGTAGTAGCTAACGTAATTGGGAACACTCAATGGGCCTCAACACACACTTCTGTGGAGACTGAAAGAATGGGGCCTCTGATGTCCACAGTGAGAAGGGGGCACTCAGGAAGACACTGCTTATCACAGGATCCCCAAAAGTAGGCACAGGGACCAGTTCACAGAGCCCCCTGCAAGCTGCTCCATGAGAGCGAGAGGGATACCTGTGCACTCAGGCAAGCTCGTGGGCACTGCATCCAAACCACGGAGAGACAGAAGGCCACTCAGGGGACCCCGGGGAGCAAAGCCCTGAGGACGCCAACGCAGGATCAGGAGAGAAATTGCCAACAGGCTGGAGCTCCTGATGGGACAGGGACCATAAACACATGCCCCTTTCCAGCAAGCTGGGCAGGCAGATGGAGAGTTCAACCTGGGCATGGTAGGAAAAGGACCAGCTCACAGAAAACAATGGGGATTACCAAAGAAAGAATTTGAAGACCCAACAGGTGCAAAAAGGAAAAGCATGATCTACCTGGCTGACACCTTTGGCCCCTTGCTTGGGAATCAGGACTAGTTATACCCTTGACCCTTGATGGTGGTCTCTGAATGGGGGAGGGATGCCCTGAGACAGAAGAGAAGGTATAAGAATGGTCAAAAAACACCTTCATTGGGAGGCTGAGGTGGGTGGATCACTTGAGGTCAGGAGTTCAAGACCAGCCAGGCCAACATGGTGAAACCTCACTTCTAATAAAATTTAAAAAAACAAAACAAAACAAAAACAAAAATTAGCTGGGTGCGGTGGCAGGCGTCTGTAATACCAGCTACTCGGGAGGCTGAGGCAGGAGAATCGCTTGAACCCTGGAGGCGGAGGTTGCAGTGAGCTGAGATTGTGCCACTGCACTGCACTTCATCTCCAAAAAAAAAAACCAAACAAACAAGAAAAAAAAAACTTAAGGCCAGGAGGAATGGAAATCCAACATGACCAGGGTTAGATCCAAGCTATGAGAACTCACGGAGAGGATGCTCTGGCCCCAGTGGGGTTGCCTGCACGCTGGCCCAGGAAGGCAGACCAACCAAGTCATCCCTGAAAAATGAACTCCTCTGTCCACTGGATGCCATCTCTCCTCCTCCACACCAGAGACAAAGGTAACAAGAAGCCCAGGTGCCAGGTGGGTCCTGCCTCTGTCCTACAACCTGAAGATTCTCTGTTTTCTTTCCAATGGTGTTAAATCCTGGAATGAACCCAGCCCACAGCAAGGCAGACTTCTTTCATGAAAAGGTGAAAATCAACTGCAGTTTTGACAGCCTGACACAACCAGCAGAGAACAACAGTCCCCATGTGCATTCCGTGAGATGGAGTCATGCTGGTTATACTAGCAAGTTAATGGACAATAAATAGTACCATTCAAAGAACATCGACCATTTTCTTAAAATGATCGTGTTGCAGGTAACTGAATAAAGTAAATCATGCCAGTTTCTGTTTCTGGGAAGGTCGTGAGCAATTAAAACATGTCCCGATTCCTCTGAAACTAGAAGCCTACAAGAAAAACGAGGCAATCTCCTTTTGTGCAAGGGTTTGATGGGGCATTTCCTAATAAGTGCCACAGGAAGCAGTAATGCATAACATAATCATCAATAAACAAAGACCTAGAGAAACAACTCTTCTTTTATCCACCTCCCTCCAAAAAACTTCTATGTCCTTCTGCTCCTCCAGGTCCTATCCAGTGAAGAAAGATGAATCTATGTTGTTAAAAGATAGTAAACGTCAGAGAAAGTGTTATGGACTAAATGTTTCTCCTCACAATTCTTACTTGAAGCCCTAACCCCAAAGGGATGCCTTTGGGAGATGATTAGAGTTAGATGGAGTTATGAGGGTGGGGTCCTCAAATGAGATCTGTGTCCTTATAAGAGACACCAGAGTTCTCTCTTGATCTACTATGTGAGGACACAGTCAGAAGGCGGCTGTCTGCAAACCAGGAAGCGAGCCCTCCTGGGACCTCAACTACACTGGCACCCTGATCTCACACTTCCAGCCTCCAGATCTCTGAGAAGTAAATGTTTGTTGTTTAAGCCATAAAGCCTGTGGCATTTTGTTATGGCAGCTTGAACAGATTAATGTAGTCCAACTCACTTTTGGACTAAGTAATAGTTCAGGCAGAAAGTATTTAAGTTGGATTCAGAAACTTCCTGACTCCAAGATCTAAAACAAGCACTAAAAAAATGGGGGGAGGGGGTGATAAAATAATTTTGAAGGAAAAAAACAAGGGAATAAATTCTAGAAATAGAGAAAGAAAAAGAAACTCAAAAAGTTTCATCTCCTTAGCATCTGCAAGAATATCTAAAAGTCTATCTTATTTTCTAAACATCCAGAAATAGGAGAGCAGGTGGGCTTCTTAAACGACCCTAACCTCAATGACGTACTTACATTCCTTGGAAAATCAAAGTACAACCTTAAGACTCTGATCACAGATTAAATGTCTAGAAAAGGCCAATCTCTTGATATACATTACACCACTCAGCAGCCCAGCAAGATATCCTTATCCCCATGGTACAGGGTAAGGTGGTTTCTTTCCCCTCCTCCTTCCCCAAGCACCAGAATGCTATTTCCTCTGATTCAGGGCAAAAAGAGAAAGGCTCAATGGCCCTGTGTTTCTCAGAGGTGGAGAGTATAAAATCTAGTTCCTTTTCCCAGGTTTTTGAAGGCTAACTTCCTAGCTACTTTCTATGACCCATTTCTCTTCTATTTTGCTGAACAGTTGAGAAATACTGTACCCTTTAAAGAGTAAAACAAGGGCCACGTGGAGTGGTTCATGCCTGTAAGCCCAGCACTTTGGAAGGCTGAGGTGGGCAGGTCACCTGAGCTCAGGAGTTCAAGCCCAGCCTGAGCAACATAGTGAGATCCCATCTCTACAAAATAAGAGATTAAAAAATTAGCCAGGGATGGTGGCACATGCCTGTAGTTCCAGCCACTTGGGAAGCTGCGATGGGAAGATCACTTGAACCTGGGAGGTTGAGGCTGCAATGAGCCGAGATCATGCCACTGCACTCCAGCCTGGGAGACAGAGTGAGACCCTGTCTCAAAAATAAATAAATAAATAGTAAGTAAAACTAAAGGATGATTATTTTTAACAATGGTGGTGGTGTTAGTGGGAGTGCAGAGCAGATGGTCCCGGCAGCAGGGAAGAGCTCGTGGGGAGTATGCTCTTCTCCCCTGCACACCCCCCTCCCACTGGACTTCTCCCCATCGGTCATGGAAGCAGAACACTTTCCAGTGCCTTCATAGTGTTTGGGAAAACGAGAAAATCGGCCTAGTATTTTCTATGCAGGTATGAAGTTTTATTCTCGCCTAGATTCCAGTTAAGGAAGTGGTGCTACCACGTAAGTCACACAAGTCACCGTGGGACTTGAAATCAATTTATACAAATACAAAGTACTAGAATCTGTCCCCATGTGTACAACAGGGGTAGTACAGCCTCTCTTCCCAGGGATGCTGTTCTGCTGAATGATGTAGCAGAATCCAGTTTCCATCTTGAAACTACTGGATCTGAGGAACTCAAAATCACACTTTTGGAGTGTCTTGTCACTTTTTAGTTTCTTCTTCCTGTACATAACCTTTCCTGTTGATGATTTAAATATCGGGGAAGTAAGTTCTTGATGATGAATGTCTTTTCCAGAATCTTTTTTTTGTTTGTTTGTTTTCACAGAGTCTCACTCTGTCACCCAGGCTGGAGTGCAGCAGAGCAATCTTGGCTCACTGCAGCCTCCTCTCCTGTGATCAAGCGATCCTCCCACCTCAGCCCCCTAAGTAGCTGGGACTACAGGTGCATGCCACCATGCCTAGCCAGTTTTTTCTATTTTTTTCAGAGACAGGGTTTCACCATATTGCCCCAGCTGGTCTCCAACTCCTGAGCTCAGGCGTGAGCCATCATGCCCTGCCTGTTCCAGAATCTTCAGGGGCCCCCAAGAAGTCTTCAGTTAAATGAACAACTCATTTCCAGAAAATGCTAAGACAAGTAAACACAATTTATTCATATATTATAAAGACCCCAAATTATCTAAAGAGGGAGACAGCTCATAAGCGAGTATTTCCTAAGCTTCCACGGAGGCATGTTCCATTCCTGCTCGTGAGCGTGAGTCCCATAACTTCCCAGGAAAGAAACATCACAGAGAACATAAGAAGCCACTAGTCATCCTTTGCTTTGCTGTAAATTTGTACACTGGCAAGTAGATATTGCTCCTAAAATTTATAAAGCAATTAGATACTAAGCAGAGATGTATACACACAACTTTACGCACAAAGTAAATTTTTCCTGCTGGGTTATGAATCCCAGGGCAAACCCGGGCTTACATCCTTCTTCACAACACGACAGGCTCTTTGTTTGTCATCAGAGTCAAAAATTACTCAGGATAGAGATGGAGGTGTTGGCTGCTTCTCAACATTTTGACAGCAATAATACTAATAAAATACCACATTACGCGTCTCTAAGCCTGTCAAACTTAATGCAAATGCAAACACACGGGACACAGGACCAGGAAGTGTTTTCAATTAGAGCCTCTGAGT